>NC_000020.11:29592737-29651590 GCF_000001405.40 Homo sapiens
TCCCCAGAGTGTGATGTTCCCCTTCCTGTGTCCAGGTGTTCTCATTGTTCAATTCCCACCTATGAGTGAGAATATGCGGTGTTTGTTTTTTTGTCTTGCGATAGTTTACTGAGAATGATGATTTCCAATTTCATCCATGTCCCTACAAAGGACATGAACTGGGTATATACCCAAAGGACTACAAATCATGCTGCTATAAAGACACATGCACATGTATGTTTATTGCGGCACTATTCACAATAGAAAAGACATGGAACCAACCCAAATATCCAACAGTGATAGACTAGATTAAGAAAATGTGGCACATATACACCATGGAATACTATGCAGCCATAAAACACTCTTGTTATTAATCTACAAAGGGATATTTTGGAGTGCTTGAGGCCTTTTGTGAAAAACCAAATATCCCACAATAAAAATTAGAAACAAGCCATCTGTGAAGATGCTTTGTGATGCCTGGATTTATCTCACAGAGTTAAACCTTCCTTTTTATTCCATAGGTTGGAAACACTCATTTTGTACAATCTACAAAGGGACATTTCAGAGCTCGTTGAGGCTAATATTGGAAAATCTAATATCCTGTGATAAATACTATAAAGAAGCTGTTTCTGAAAATACTTTGTGATGTGTGATTTTATGTCAAAAGTTGAACTTTTCTTTTGATTCATCAGTTTGGAAACTGTTTTTGTAGAATCTACAAGGGGAGATTTCATAACCCATTGAAGCACACAGTGAAAAATCAAATATCTCTTGATAAAAACTCAAAGCAACCTATCTGTAAAAATGTTTTGCAATGGGTAGATTCATCTTACAAAGTTAAACCTGTGTTTTCCTTCAGCAGGTTGGAAACTCTTTGGTTGTTCAATCTACAAGGCAACAATTCATAGTCCATTGAGGCATTTAGTGAAAAACCAATAATCCATGGTAAAAATTAGAAAAAAGCTATGGGTGAAAATGCTTTGAGATGTGTGGTTTCATCTCACAAAGTTAAAACTTTGTTTTGATTCAACAGGTTGGAAACACTCTTTTTGTAGAATCTACAAAGGGACATTTCAGAGCCCATTGATGCTTACAGTGAAAAACCAAATACCCCAGGATAAAAACTAGAAACAGGCTATCTGTGAAAAAGCTTTGCATATCATCTCACAGAATTGAACATTTGTTTTGATTCAGCAGGTTGGAAATATTCTTTTTGTAGAATCTACAAGGGGAACTTTGGGAGCAAATTGAGGCCTATAGCATGAAATCGAATATTCTGCAATAAAAACTAGAGAAAATCTATCTATAAAAATGGTTTGTGATGTGTGGGTTCATCTCACAAAGTTAAATCTTTGTTTTCATTCAGCATGTTGGAAACCCCTTTTTATAGAACTTATGAGGGGGCATTTCATCGCCCATGGAGGCCTATAGTGAAAAACTGAATATTATATGATAGAAACTATAGAAGCTATATGTGAAAATGCTTTGCAATTTACGGTTTCATCTCATACAGCTTAAACTTTCTTTTGATTCAGCTAAGTTGGAAACACTCTTTTTGTAGAATGTATGAAGGGACATTTTGGATCCCACTGAGGCCTATAGTGAAAAGCTGAATAATTCATGATAAAAACTAGAAGAAAGCTATCTGTGAAATTGCTTTGCAATGTGGGGATTTATTTCACAGAGTTAAACTTTTGTTTCTACACAGTAGGTTCAAAACTCTCTTTTAGTAGAAGCTAAGAGGGGACAATTTAGAGCCCTTTGAGGCTTATAGGGAACAATTCAAAGTTTTGTGATTAAAAACTAGATAGAAACTATCTGTAAAAATGTTTGGTGATGTGAAAATTCATCTCACAGTGTTAAACATTTGTTTTGATTCAGTACGTTGGCAAAAATTTTTGTAGACTGTACAAAGGGACATTTTGGAGACCACTGAGACCAATATTGAAAAAATGAACATCTTGCTATAAAACTAGAAAAGTTCTTGGTGAAAACGCTTTCTGATGTGTGAATTCATCTCACAGATGTAAACCTTTGTTTTCATTCAGCCAGTTGGAAACACGCTTTTTATAGAGTTCAGGAGGGGATATTTCAGAGCCCATTGAAGCCTCTATTTGAATACTGAATATTCCTAGTGACATATGGTGTTGAGCATCTTTTCAGAGGTCTAAGAAATGTGCCAGGTATGGTGACACACGCTTGTGGTCCCAGCTACTCAGGAAGCTGAGGTGGGAGGGTTACTTGAGCCCTGGAGGTTGGGGCTGCATTGAGCCATGATTGTACCACTGCACTCCAGCCTGAGTGACAGAGCTAAAACCTGTCTAAAAAGATAAATAAGACCTGGTGCGATGGCTCATGCCAGTAATCTAAGCACTTTGGGAGGGCAAGTTGGGTGGATCATGAGGTCAGCAGATTAAGACCATCCTGGCTAACACGGTGAAACCCCATCTCTACTAAAAATACAAAAAATTAACCGGGTATGGTGGGACGTGCCTGTAATTCCAGCTACTCAGGAGGCTGAGGCAGCAGAATCACTTGAACCTGGGAGGCAGAGGTTGCAGTAAGCCAAGATCGTGCTGTTGCACTCCAACCTGGGCAACAGAGTGAGACTCCATCTCAAAAAATAAATTAAAAAATAATAATTAACAAATAAATAATTGACTTAATTTTTAGAACAGTTGTAGGTGTACAGAAAAATAGACCAGAAAGGATATTGATCTCTAATATCTGCCTCACACCACAGTACATACACTTTCTCTATTATCATGTTGTTAGTGTGGTACATTTGTTAAGCTTGATGAGCCAACATTGATATTATTAAGTTCATGGCTTATATTAAGATTCACTCTTTGTGTTCTACCATTTATGGGCTTTGACAAATGCTTAAGCAATATATCCACCATTATAGGGTCACACAGAAAAGTTTCACTGCCCTAAAAATCTTCTGTGTTCGACCTAGTCATCCTTCCCTCTGCTCAAGCCTCTGGCAACCACTGAACTTTTTATAATGCCATCTGCCTAGTTTTGCCTTTTCTAGTATTCCATATAATTGGAACTCTACACTATGTGGCCTTTTTGCATTGGCTTCTCTCACTTAGAAATATGTGTTTAAGATTCCTCCATGTCTTGTCATGCCTTGGTAGTTCATTTCTTTTTATTCCTGAAGAATATTCCATTGTATGAATGTTTCACAGTTAGTTTATCTGTTTCCCTATTGTAGGATATCTTGGTTACTTCCAATCTTTGTTGGTTATGTATAAGCTGCTATAAACATTCATGTGCAGAATTTGAGTGGATATAAGTTTTCAAGTCAGTTGAGTATATACCAAAGAATGCAATTGCCAGATCATATGGTAAGCATATGTTTAGTTCTGCAGGAATTTGCAAAACTGCCTTCCACAGTGGCTTTACCATTTTGCATTCCCAGAAGCGATCAATGAGAGTTCCTGTTGTTCCATATCCTCAGCAGCATTTGGTGGTCTCAGTGTTTGGATTTGAGCCAGTCTAATAGATGTGTAGTGGTATCTCATCATTGTTTTAATTTGAATTCCCTAGTGACATATGGTGTTAAGCATCTTTTCAGATGCTTATTTTTGCTATCTATATAGCAAAGGGCAGATACAAATGGTGGACTGCAGGGAAAGAGCTTGCTATGATGATAGGAAGCTGCAGGCAGAGATGATCTCAGGGTTAACTGGGCATCAACTGTGCCTTCTCCTGTCACATAAAATGTGATCTACCTGAGTTTTGACTGGAAGCACAGAATATCTGGTTGTTCATAAATATTTCTTACTGAAGCTTGAGGTTTATGTATGTTATGATCAAAAGATGATATCACCCCAATATATAAGCAGGTTGGGGTACAACAGGGAATGATTGTCACAGATGTTGAGAGTCTACATTGAATGGATGGTGTCACTGGCTTCCCATATATTTCTCATTATGGACTTTAACTTTTCATTTGCCACATGAAAGGCCACTGAGATAAGCTAAATCATATTTTTCTCTTGGGGATCTCTGTTACTGAGAAATTTTTGCATTCTGGGCTACACTGGGTTCATAATCTGACTATATATATATCGTGTGTATGTTTGTTCCCTCCCTAAAATGCTCAGTTCAGCTGCAGGTCTAGAGACAAATACTACTAGGTTTCCATTTTAGAGAGTTGAAGATCTGAGGTCTGGAGAAGTTAGTGTGTAGAAAGTTATATTTAACAAGTGGCAAGACCATGTGGCCAGGTCAGATAAGCTGCCTTCAGATTTTACTCTTAAACTTCTACTGGATAATGTCTTTTTTTAATAGAAAAGAAAAGAGTGAACTTAGATTTTTTTTCAAAATCATGGACTGTAAGAGTTCTTTCAAGATATGATGGAAAGCAATAATTGTCCCATTTTACATTACCTATAATTATTGCTCACCAGAAATTGATTATCGATGCAGCAACCTTTTACATTCCTCACTGCTTTACTATGCATGAGGGGGCTTCACTGTAAATAAGAGGTCCAAGATTCAGAAATATCTTTAACTTGCAATGCTTGGTCACATGTATCCATCTGAAAAATATTTTGCTCATTAGCCATATGGAGTCATATGGCAGACTACAGCCAGAGACACAAAATGTGGAAAGAAGAAAGGGCTATCAGAAGTCCCGTGTCTCCTTACATTTTGTATTTCTATTCATATGCATCTAGAATCATAAGGAATTTGAGCAAATGGGAAATGCAAAGTCCTAATCAAAGCATACCCACATTTCAGTTATCTGCATTATTGCACATTTAAATTTATAATGCATACATAGGATACAATTCAATAGGTATAAAAATGTTAAGTAACCTTTTCTCTCATGCACCCCAGTCACTCAGTAGCTCACTTTACAGTCAACATTTTAATTTTGTTGGGCATACTTTCATAAATTTTCTCTCTATCTGTCTCTGTCTCTGTCTCTCTCTCTCTCTCTCTCTCTCTCTCTCTCTCTCTCTCTCTATATATATATATATATATATATATATATATATACACATTTTTTTTTTGAGGTGGAGTCTCGGCCTGTCACCCAGGCTGGAGTGCAATGGTGAGATCTCATCTCACTGCAACATCTGCCTCCTATGTTCAAGCAATTCAACTGCCTGAGTAGCTAAGATTACAGTGTGTGCCACCACACTCGGCTAATTTTTTGTGTGTGTTTTTAGTGGAGACGGGGTTTCACCGTGTTGGCCAAACTCCTGACCTCGTGATCCGCCCGCCTCAGCCTCCCAAAGTTTTGGGATTACCAGTGTGAACTACCACACCTGGGCATTTTTTTCTCTTTAAAATAAATTTTATTGTATATATTTAAGCTACACATATGGTGTTATAGAATACATATACATAGTAAAAATTCATTACTATAGTGAAGCAAATTACCATATCTATCACAGATACACACATTTTTTCTTGTGGCAAGGGAAGGTAAAATCTTATTTAGCATGAATCCCATATACAGTACAATTTTATTACCTATAGTCCTCATGTTGTATATAGATGTATAGGATTGTTCATCTGACATATCTGCTACTGTGTATCTCTGACCCACATGTCCTTATTTCCTCCCTTCCTCTCTACCTGATAACTACTCTGTTGTTCTCTATTTTTATTTTTTTTAGGCAGAGTCTCACTGTGTTACCTCCCAAAAGTGCTGAGATTATAGGCGTGAGCCACCGCACTTGGTTGCTTTCACCATTTCAGATAGAACTTGGAGAAGAACCTGAGGAAAAACATGACTTTAAAATTTGGATGAATGGAGAAATCTCTTTCCATTCACCTTCCTTTCCTCTATTTCATTCTTATTGTGAAATATGCAAACAAAGATAGGGATACATCAGTTATTAAATAAACATCTGTGTGATACCTATCCAGGTGAAGAACTAGAGCACTATCACCACCAAGAAGTCCTCTGTTTGCCCCTAACTGATCCTAAAGTCTTCCTTCCCTTGTTAGTAACAGATATAACAGATACCCACATTACCTGTGGATGTCTGCGTTTCTCTCCTTGGTTCTCTTTATAATTTTATTATTTATTTTTTTCTTTCTTTTCTTTTCTTTTCTTTTCTTTTTTTTTTTTTTTTTTAGAGATGGAGCCTTGCTCTGTCACCCAGGCTGGAGTGTAGTGGCATGATCTTGACTCATTGCAACCTCCAACTCCCGGATTCAAGTGATTCTCATGCCTAAACCTCCCGAATAGCTGGGATTACAGGCATGGGCTATATGCCACCACGCCTGGCTAATTTTTGTATTTTTAGTAGAGACGGGGTTTTACATGTTGGTCAGGCTGGTCTCGAACTCCTGACCTCAGTGCCTGGCCTTATTATGCATTTTTTAGAAGCCTAAAGTCAAGTCTGGTTTTGCCTGGTTTTTCTCTTACATAATTGGAGTAAAAGTCTGTATCCTGCTGCCTCTGGCTCCTTTTACCCAATATTAAGTATTTAATATTTACACTTAGCATTGTTTCTGCATTCTATTAAAACAGTACACCAGCCAGGCACGATGGCTCATGTCTATAATCCCAGCACTTTGGGAGGCCGAGGCAGGCAGATCACTTGAGTTCAGGAGTTCCAGACCACCCTAGCCAACATGGTGAAACCCCATCTCTACTAAAACTACAAAAATTAGGCCATGCAGTGGCTAATGCCTGTCATCTCAGCACTTTGAGAGGCCGAGGCAGGCAGATCATGAGGTCAGGAGATCGAGACCATGCTGGCGAACATGGTGAAACCAAATCTCTACTAAAAATACAAAAAAATTAGCTGGGCGTGGTGGCATGTGCCTGTAGTCCCAGCTACTCAGGAGGCTGAGGCTGAAGAATCACTTGAATCTGGGAGGTGGAGGTTGCAGTGAGCCGAGTTTGCACCACTGCACTCCAGCCTGGGTGACAGAACTAGACTCTGTTAAAAAAAAAAAAAAAAAAAAAGGCCGGGCGTGGTGGTGGGTGCCTGTAATCCCAATTACTCGGGAGGCTGAGGCAGGAGAATCAGTTGAACTTGGGAGGTGGTGGAGGTTGCAGTGAGCCAAGATTACACCCTGTACTCCAACCTGGACAACAGAGTGAGACTCAGTATCAAAAAAAAAAAAAAAAAAAAAAAAGGCTGGGCGTGGTGGCTCCCACCTGTAATCCCAGCACTTTGGGAGGCTGAGACAGGTGGATTACCTCAGGTCAGGAGCTTGAGACCAGCCTTACCAACAAGGTGGAACCCTGTCTCTACCAATAATACAAAAATTTGCTGGGAGTGGCGGCACCCATCAGTAAGACCAGCTACTCAGGAGGCTGAGACAGGAGAATTACTTGAACCTGAGAGGCAGAGAATGCAGTGAGCCGAGATCGCTCCCTTTACTCCAACCTGGGGTCCTGAGCAAGACCCCATCTTAAAAATAAAAATAAAAATAAAAATAAAAATAAAAATACAGTACACCAGTGTGTAACCCTTCATTGTTGGTAGACATGTGGGTTGTGTTCATTTTTGCCAGTTACAAATGATGCTGTTGTGAACATTTGTGTATTTCTATTTGTTTACCATTAGTGTGTATAGTGTGTATAGTGAACAGTATAAAACAAGAGGTGAAACCATAGGTTACAGGGGAAACATATCTTCCATTTTACTAGCTATTATTGGTTTCATCCCAATGTTAACACACCAACTGACAGTCTTACAATGTCTGATACTTCCCAAATCTTCGCATTCTTCTTGATACTTAATTTTGTCAAAATTTTAATTTGAGTCTTTTGGTGGGTATGTGGAAATGATTGTGATATTAATTTACTAGGCCTTTTCTTCTCTGTAACTAGCCCTGTCAAGATATATGTGTGGTGTGGGAGGGGTAGGAGCCCCCAGAGGTAGCATGGGCTCTGGAAACCTTAATCATTCTATGTGAAAAACTTGGTGGGGCAGAGATTTTTTTTTTTTTTTTTTTTTTGAGAGAGAGTTTTGCTCTTGTTGCCCAAGCTGGAGTGCAATGGCGTGATCGCAGCTCATTGCAACCTCCGCCTCCCAGGTTCAAGTGATTCTCCTGCCTCAGCCTCCCAAGTAGTTGGGATTAGAGGTATGTGCCACCACAACAAGCTACTTTTTTGTGTTTAGTAGAGATGGGGTTTCACCATGTTTGTCAGGTTGGTGTTGAACTCCTGACGTCAAGTGATCCACCCACCTCAGCCTCCCAAAGTGCTCAGATTACAGGCATGCACCACTGCCCCTGCCCTGTTTTCATTTTATTAATTGGCTGATTCATTCACACACATAATTATCAAGTCAAATCTCACTGTTTCCTTAGCATTTATCTTCAGTTTAGCTTAGAAAATCTATTCCTATTTTAAAACATATACAATTATTTGAGTGTGGTGGCACATGCCTGTAATCCCAGCTACTTGGGAGGCTGAGGCAGGAGTATCACTTGAACCTGGGAAACTGAGGTTGCAGTCAGTCAAAATCGCCCCACTACACTCCAGCCTGGATGACAGAGTGAGACTCCATCTCAAAAAACCAAACAAGAAGGTTTTCTCCAGATCATTTTTACATTTAATTATTCAGTCTGTTTTGACTATACCTTAAAGAATTCAGTAAATATAACTTCAATCCTACACACTATTAGTCAATGTACCTAACACAATTTATTGAATAAACCAGTCCATTCCCAACATCATTCTACTAAAAATACAAAAAACAGTAACCAGGCAGGTGGCAGGCACCTGTAGTCCCAGCTACTCAGGATGCTGAGGCAGGAGAATGGTGTGAACCCAGGAGGTGGAGCTTGCAGTGAACCTACATCACACCACTGCACTCCAGCCTGGGCAACAGAGCAAGACTCCATCTCAAAAAAAAAAAAAAAGTAATTATATTTCCCAACGTAAATGAATAGAGCCATTAAGGAAAATAACATGGAGATTCATCAGAAATTAAAAATAGAATTACTATATGTTCCAGCAATCCCACCTGTGTGTGTATAGCGAAAGGAATTGAAATCAGCATACTGAAGAGATAACTGCACTACCATATTCACTGCAGCATTATCCATAATAGCTAAGATATGAAAGTAACCTAGGAGGCCAGCATAGGATGAATGGATAAAGAAAATATGATACACACACACACACACACACACACACACACACATAAAGGAACACTATGCACTCTTCATTTTATTTATTTTATTTTATTTTGAGATGTAGTTTCGCTCTTGTTGCCCAGGCTGGAGTGCAATGTTGTGATCATGGCTCACTGCAACCTCCACCTCCTGGGTTCAAGTGATTCTCCTACCTCATCCTCCCCAGCAGCTGGGATTACAGGCATGCACCACGTAGCCTGGCTAATTTTCTACTTTTAGTAGAGATGGGGTTTCTCCATGTTGGTCAGGGTGGTCTCGAACTCCTGACCTCAGGTGATCTACCCGCCTCAGCCTCCCAAAGTGCTAGGATTACAGACATGAGCCACCATGCCCGATCTTACTATTTACTCTTTTTTTTTTTCCTTTGAGATGGAGTTTCCGTCTTTTTGCCCAGGCTGCAGTGCAATGGTGCGATCTCAGCTCACTGCAACCTCCGCCTCCTGGGTTCAAACGATTCTCCTGTCTCAGCCTCCCAAGTAGATGGGATTACAGGTGCCCACCACCACACCCAACTAATTTTTGTATTTTTAGTAAAGAGGGGGTTTCACAATGTTGCTCAGGCTTGTCTCGAACTTCTGAGCTTGAGTGATCCACCCGTCTCAGCCTCTGAAAGTGCTGGAATTGCAGGCATGAGCCACAGCACCCAGCCAAAAACACAGATTAATGTATTAATAGTCTGAAGTACTGTAAAATACTGCTGAGAATACAGATCACTAATATCATCATCATAGAGCACAAAACAAGTTCTGGTATTATTAAGAAAATCATAGCTCTGACTAAAACATACATGGAAAACACATTCTATTAGAAATTAAATTATACTAATACTATTGACAATCACTTTTATAGCTGTCACTGTAAACTCAAAGACAAGAAATAAATTCATCACCAGAAAATGTAAAACAAGTGCTTAGCCTTACTGCTGAGAAGTCTGTAGTTGCCTTTTACTGAACGACACCTCAGTTCTTGGGATAAAGTTTGAAACAGCAACTGGAAGGACAGCTTTAACTTTAAAATGGTTTTATTTTTAGGGTTGTCATGTTATAAAAGCTATTCTCACATAGCTAAGCTGTTGGAAAGAGACAGGTTTTGTGAAGGTTTTTCATCAGGTGTTTCATGTTGTCCTCACTGCAACCTCAAACAATGGCAAATGATTCCTAAGCCACTGTAATGCTAACTCAGCTGATTAATAAAATTCTGTTTCTTTAGGCCGGGCACAGTGTCTCACACCTGTAATCCCAGCATTGTGGGAGGCTGAGGCGGGTGGATCACAAGGTCAGGAGATTGAGACCATCGTGGCTAACACGGTGAAAACTTGTCTCTACTAAAAATTCAAAATATTAGCTGGGCGTGGTGGCACGTGTCTGTAATCCCAGCTACTTGGGAGGCTGAGGCAGGAGAATCGCTTGAGCCTGGGAGGCAGAGCTTGCAGTGAGCTGAGATTGTGTGACTGCACTCCAGCCTGGGTGACAGAGAGAGACTCCGTCTCAAAATAATAATAGTAATAATGAATAAATAAATAAAATAAAAAATAAAAAGATGGAAGAAACTCAGACTTTCAAAAATTAAGGATCCCATTTTTACCTAAGATATTGGCTTTACTCTTAGGTTCCATTGATTGACTTAGAAAATAATTTTTTTTCTAACTAACTACACAAGAAAAATGAAATGAAGGGGTAGAACTCAAGAATCTCTGTGCATTTCTAAAAGCCAAATTTTGCAACCACTGCAATATTACCATTTACTAACATTTTCTTTCATCTCAGCCAAAGGTAAGAGGCCTCTAACTGGGACAGGCATGGTGGCTCACGTCTGTAATCCCAGTAATTCGGGAGGCCTAGGTGGGTAGATCACTTGAGGTCAGGAGTTCAAGATGAGCCTGGCCAACATGGTGAAACGGCGTCTCAACTAAAAATACAAAACTTAGCTGGGTATGGTGGTGGGCACCTGTAATCCCAGCTCCTTGGGAGGCTGAGGCAGGAGAATTTCTTGAACCCAGGAGGCAGAGGTTGCAGTGAGCCTAGATCATGCCCCTCTACTCCAGCCTGGGTGACAGAGCAAGATTCCATCTCAAAAAAAAAAAAAAAAAGAGAGAGAGAGAGAGGCCTCCAGCTGGATCCAAGTCAGTTAATTACCAGATCAAATCTGATCCTGGACCTAGTTCAGTTTCTGTCCTAACTTTCAAACTGTTTGGATCACAAATTTGTTCAGAGAAACTCAGAGAATTCCAAACACAAATCCATGGAGTTCTGAAATCTGAGAGAACTTACCCATGATCCCCAGCCACTTTGAGAGATCAAGGGACAAAAGTAGGTCCTTGCAGGTACCTTGCTTGTTCACTCAACAGTCCTGGGGATTGTTAAGGCTCTACTTCAGATCCCACTTCTGACAGCATCTGTTAAAAGAAGAACTTCAGCTGAATTAAATTTAAAGAAGTTCAATTCAGCTATCAACAATTCATGAATAGGGCAGTCCCTGAAATCACAGCAGATTCAGAGAGATTTCAGCACAGCCACGTGGTGAAAGATTTATAGCCATAAAAAGGGAAATGAGGTACAGAAATTGGAGGTGAGGTACAGAAACAAGTGAATTGGTTACAGCTTAGCATTTGCCTTAGTTGAATAGAGTTTGAACACTCAGTAGTGTAAGAGTGGTTGAAGTATGGCTGCTGGGATTGGCCAACACTCAGCTATTGTTACAGGTGCATACTCCTAAGTTAGGTTTTTCAACCTTGTCTACCTATTAAGTTACGTTGCAGTTTGTCCACAAAGATTCAAATATAGAAGTATGGAGTCCTTCTCAGGCCATATTTAGTGTGTTTTAACACTCTAAAATGTATAAAATCAACCTGAACCCCAACCACCTTGGGAACATTTTCTCAGGGTCTCCTGAGGAGGGCTGTGTCACAGGCCATGGTCACTCATATTTCACTCAGAATAAATCTCTTCAAATATTTTACAGAGTTTGACTCTTTTACTCAACACTGTTCAGTAACAAAAGAGAACAAACCATCAAGACACACAGCAACAGACAAATTTCAAAAACTTTACACTGAGTGAAAGAAGGTAGACCCAAAGATTACATGTGCTATGGTTTCATTTATATGAAGTTCAAGAACTGGCAGAACTAAATTATGGTGATAGAAACCAAATCACCAGTTGCCTTGTGTTGCAGCAATACTGACTGGAAAGGGGCATGAGAGAAGTTTATGAGGTGAAAGAAATGTTTTGTGTTCAGATTAAGATGTGTGTCACAGGGGTTTATACCTTTAATATGTGTATATTTCACTCTATACATTTAATTCCTCATAAAATAAAATAAAATAAAATAAAACTGAAGAGAAGTAAATAAGAGTACAATGTCTTTATGCTACTCCAAAGAGAAGGTTTGCCTCCAAAAGAGAAGCCCGAGAGGTTTGCTTTGAGCTGTAACAAAAATAAGGTTTCTGAAGAAAGAAGAGATATCAGACAAAAAGTGATTTCTCTAGGAATTAAAAAAGAAGCAGAAATAGATAAAGAAAAATTGTTCTTGTGAATTTAGTGCACAGCAAAGTATTATTGTTTTTAGTGCCGAGTCTCTTTTCCCCTAAAACCTGGATATGCTGTATTCTTTAAGCAAATTTCAAGAAAGAAGTGAAAAATCTCATAGGAAGAGAGAAAGGAAAATCACTCTTTGAATATACACTAAAACCTGAATGTACAAATGGTATGTATCAGTGTACCAGGGAAAATGCACAATATACTTAAGTTGTTTAATTTGAATAGAATATAATAAAAGAGCAATTTAAAAGCTGTGGATAGTGTATAGATAAACCAAAAGGGATAATTCTGTATGTACCCTGCAACTGTTACCTTCTCTAGGCCTGAAGGGATGAAGGGCAGTATTAGTTATTGAAACTTGGAGACAAAAATGCCATGTGGAGATAACCACCTTCAAGACAGTGATCCAGGACATTGGTGAGAGATAAAAGCATATGGCTTAGAGAAGGAAGTTATAGAAAGAAGATTATTAGTGGAGACAAGACAAGTCAGTGGGGAAGGAAAATGTTGAAAACAAAGAGCAGGGAAGAGGACAATAGTATGTTTGATGAGTCCAGTCAGGCACTGGGGACAGGGAAGTGGGTGTGATTTTGTTTTATTTAACAACAAAATAGATAGAGAAATGAAAGGCAATGAAGTGCACATGAATAACCTGGTTTCTACTGTGGGCAGCTAGGGTTCAGTCATGCTGGAGACTGTGAAAGATGTAGAACACACCTTTATAATCGGCCACCTGAAGAATGAAGGAGCCGTGTACATAGTAATTTCCTGATTTTATCTATGGAATAAAGGTTGTACTAATAGCAAAACCCACCGTTAATTTTCCACCATCCTAATACCTTGAGCCCTTAACTTCCTGGCATTTCTTGTCTGCTAGGAAGAATACTCAGAGAATGGCCTCAGGCTGAGAGATGTTGAGATAGAAAGCTCTTTAGAATATAAGAGAACCGTCAACTGAAGTTGCAGGTGATTTCCAGAGCAGCCTTTAGAGGTAGGAGTGAAGAATGCATAGCTTCTGTTACAGATAGTAATCAAGATACACAGACTCTTCTGTGGACTTCTAAGGTGCGGGAGTTGATAACTTCTGAAAGCAAAGAAAAATGGCATAAAAATAAAACAGAATGTGATAAGGAATGACTAGAGGATAGGCTGTAGGAAAGAAGGAGAAAGAGGAAAGGTCAGTTTAGGTTCAGTTATTTAAGAAAATCTCTTTGAGGAGTAGGAATTTGAAACCAGTTCTGCAGAAACCTGGGGGTAGAACATTCCAAACAGAGTAAAATAGAAGAACAAAGACTCAGAGGCAGGCTCAATCTTGGCAATAGGCTCAACCATCAGACAAAAAAAAAAAAAAAAGCGGAATAATGAGGAGATACAGAATGATCAGAGATGAAATGGGAGAGGGGTTCAGATTACATGAATTTTATAGGACTTGGTGATTTAGATTTTATTCCAGTATGTTGAGAATCCACAGATCATTTTAAGCAAAAAAAAAAAAAAATGGCATGATCTCATTTATATTTTAGAAGTCAGTTGGGTTTCTCTGTATAATATGGATTTTTATGGGGCAAGAAGGAAGGGAGTTGTTACAGGTACTTGAGAAGAAAGATGATGTTTGCTTGACTAGGTCGGTAGCAATAGAGATGGGAAAAAGCAAGCAGATGAGACTCACTTTTGGATCTTTAGTTCACCTAACGTGTTGATACATTGGAGCATAAAAGATAAATACTTTACTTTTCATCCTTAAAAGGCAGAAAAATATAGAGGCAAAAAATGGAAAGTTGGAAGTTTAGGAAATGTGGTTTCCGACTTGACCTTAAACTGTTCCAGCTGTATATGATCTCAGGGCGATCATGCAGCTGTTTTGGCTGTGGCTTCTTCATTTCTGAAATGGCATTAATAATAACATTCCTGTAGCTGAGGTGTTAAAGAATAAAACTATAGAGGTAAAGCAGTCTTGAAAATTTCAATGTAATACCTAAATTTAAGGTATTATAGGGATGCCCTAAGTTGCTTTTAAAAAATGCTATGTTATTACATGCTACTCTTTGATAAACTTTTATTTGTGATAATTAATGTAATTAGTGTGCTAACTTTCTACAGTGGCACCCTGGGGCAATCGTGCAACAGTTGTAATTTTAAAAGTTGGGCAAATAAGTAAATGTCAATCTGTAATAAAATCCAAATGAGTCTTTGATGAATGTTGATGGTGACTGGTAATTTACCTGATAAAATATTGTGACTGCCCAGTTACCTTGGAATAGCTGATTTCTCAAAGTAATTACCATGTTCTGCATAGTGAAGTGTCATTAGAGAAAATCTTAACACACAGTGATCATTTTTAATTTGGTGATTTAAATATCATACTGATTAATGAAATAGTAGCATTTTAATTCAGACTGTTAAGTCAGAAGAGAGAGACATGTTTATCACATACTATAGAGTGCACTGTTGTGTAATAATCACTCATTTCTTACCTGTTTTTAACTACCGTTTAAAAAATATCATTCCTTCTAATAAAGATAAAGTCTTATTGGATTAAAAGTTAAAAAGCAATTGGACCCAGTCTCCTACCTAGAACCTTATTGCTGTTAAGTCTAGGACATCTTTGAGAAACCATCTTTACCTTGCTGTTTTCTGAGAGTCGTATGTTATGATTTCACTAGATCTGCAAACAAACAACAGAGACATACTACTGGTATGGTATTCTAACATTTGACATGACATTGTTCATCAAATTATTAACTTTTGGTTAACTGTGTGTTTCTTTGTTTGCTTTGCTTTCCAAGAATATGTTTCACAGATACTATTAGTTCAAGAAAGCTGGGGAAAAGAAAAAATAATAAAGGTTAAGATCCTGACTAGGGAATGAATTAGAGAAAGCCAAAGTAATTGCCTGGAAAAGATATGTGGGAGGTTGGGTCAAGTTTCAAGGTTCAGAAGTAGACTTCGAGATAAGCATTTTTCTGGATATTTGGAATTATCTCCTAAAGATATTATTCTTTGAAATATGACCAAAAACATATAGCCAAACATCAATTTTGTTTTGGCAAATCCAGTCCAAGAAAATAAGTTATCTAAAGGCTCAGAAGTGCTTTGTCCTAGTTCTTTCTCAGGCTTCTTAATCAATACTCAGAACTCTGTACCAATTATTGGTAAGTAATATATATAGATTACCAGAGACTGCAGTTTCTGCCAGTGTGTCTGAATTAACCCTTTCAGTGTTTTGTGAACTTCAGTTGTAAAATATTAGCAGAATATAAAATAATTTTAATTTTTTAAAATTTTAAAGTAGGGAAACATTTGAGCAAACACTTCACCAAAGAAGATATGCAAATGGCCGGTAAGCATATGAAATTATCAACATTATTATTCACTAGAAAAATGTAAATTAAATCCACAATGAGATGCCCCTACACATATAAATAAATTGGCTAAAATTTAAAACTTATAGACAACTGAAAGCATCAAGTGATAGTGAGGATGTGGACCACAAAACTCGCAGTTTGCTAGCAGGGATGCAAAATGATACAGCAACTTTGGAAAACAGTTTGGCAGTTTCTTATCATTTTAAACATTCTCTTACATACAACCCAGAAAGTCCTCTATTAAGAATTTACCCCCAAAAAAGGGAGCAAGGGAAGTTCATGTAAATCCCTATATGCAAATTATTCACAATACCTTAAACCTAGAAACAACTCAAATGTACATCAATCAGCTAGTGATAAACAAAGTTTTCTATATAGAGATAGTAGGTTAATATTAGCAATTTAAAAAGAAGAAACTTAAAATCCATGAAAGAACATAATTTTGCAAAAGACATGAAAGGCAATACACTGTTTCATTCCATTTATATGATATTCTGGTAAAGGCAAAAGTATAGAGACAAATCAGATCAGTGGTTGCCAGGGTATATAAGTAGGGGTTGGAGACTTAATACAAAGGAAATTGAGGGAATTTATGGGGGTGATGGGAGTATTCTGTATATTGATTGCAGTGGTAGTTATATGATTATATACATTAATCAATAATGATCAAACTGTATATCTAAGAAGGGTAAAGTCTAATGAATGTAATTTATCAATAATCATCAAACTGGATGTCTAAGAAGAGTAAATTCTAATGAATGTAAATTATACATCAATACATGTGATTTTTTTAAATTTATTTAAGGATATTATGAACAAATTTTGGCAAGAATTTGAAAATTTAGAAAAAAGTGGACAAATTCCAAGAAAAATACTACTTACTAAAGCAGACACTGGAAAAAAACAAAATATGAGTAATCTGATTTACATTAATGAAATTAAATATTTAACATATTCAATTTTGGAATAGTCCATGCCAGGATTTGCCTGCAAATTCTTCTAAAGATTTAATAAAGGAATAGTAATTCTTTTATAACACTTAGAGTTCTATAACACTTAGTTTCTGTAATTGCAGAAACCCTTTCCAACACACTTTATGATGGCCACATTATCTTGATAAGAACTCTTACAGGGCAGTACATGAAAGAAAAACACAATCCAGGCTTCATATACAAATTGAAGTAAAAATCTTATGCAAATTTTTTAAACAAATTCAGTAGCATATTTTAAAAGTTTAATGTAGACTAACAAACTTCCTTTAATTCCAGAAATGTAAGGATGTTTTAACGTTAAAAAATCAATGAGTAAACTTTTTTGATTTTGATAATTATACTTTGGTTATAGGGAGATGTCCTTTTTTTAGAAAGTCAAATTGATTCATTTGGGGGTATGTATTAATCCGTTTTCATGCTGCTGATAAAGATAAACCCAAGACTGGGCAATTTACAAAAGAAAAGAGGTTTAATAGACTCACAGTCCCATGTGGCTAGGGAAGCCTCACAATCACGGCAGAAGGTGAAAGCTGTGTCTCTCATGGTGGCAGACAAGAGAAGAGAGCTTGTGCAGGGAAATTCCCCTGTATAAAATCATCAGATATTTGAGACTTCTTTGCTATCATGAGAATAGCATGGGAAAGACGTGCCCCCATGATTCAATTACCTCTTATTGGGTCCCTCCCACACATGTGGGAATTCAAGATGAGATTTGGGTGGGGACACAGCAAAACCCTAACAGGGTAGAAGGGCAAATTTGACATATTAGTCTTAAATAATTAAAAAAAGAGAAGAATGAGAGAGGAGGAAAAATCATAAATAAATGGAGCAAAACATAAACAACTGGTGAATCTGAAAATCTCAGTAAAATACTTTGTGGTTTCTTATACTTTTCTTGCAACTTTCGTGTTTGAAAGGTTATCCTCCTTCTGCTCAAATTTGCCAAAAACATTTAAAAGTCTATTAGTGCAATGTACTACTGAATAAAAAGAAAAACCAGATGATTGTCTAAAATCTCTGATAATAGTATTTTTTAGAATTGAAAACCTCAACAAACTGTAGCATTTTAATTGATAAACATAATCTTAAAAAAAAATCTGCAGCAAAATCCTTCATAATGTGAAATGTTAAACATTTTGTCCGCAAGATAAAATATGAGGCTAGATTACTTATTATCATTACTCCATCCCACTTTATTCTAATCCATTCATAGCCAGTGCAAGATGGCAAGGAGTAAAGACTAAAGACCAGAAAGGTAAAATGCCACTCCCATTTTCATACTATACATTTGTGTTTATGAAATGTCCAAGATAATTTTCTACTTATTAGAATTAATATCACAGTTTTGTGTGGTTTCTGATACAAGATCAATATTTTAAAAAGTGTATTTCTTTACACAATAAATAGAAGATTAAAATATAAAAAGATACCCCTTTGAACAGCATCAAAACATCAAATACTTGAGATAAATTTAATTAAATATATGCAAAATCTCTACAGAACTATATAACTTTATTGAGTAATATTGAATGAAACCTAAATAAATCAAGAGATAGAATGTGTTCATAAATTGAAAACTTAAATTTATAAAGATGTCCATTTTCCTAAATTCATCTGTTGATTACAATATCAATCATAGTTCCAAGAGGCTTCTTTATCTTCAAAAATTGACATGTGAATTCTAGAATTTAGGTGACAATGCAAAAGGCTAAGAACAGCTAACATCTCAAAAAAGAACAAAGTACTTACAGTCCCAGATATCAAGGCTATAATATAAACCATAGTAATGAAGAAAGGTAAATATCACAAGCATAGATAGACAAATAGTATAGAATCTTGTATCGGTATGGAAAAAGAAATCTAGATTTTTACCTCACCTCATTCACAAAACCATTTCATTCATGCAGATCTAAACAGGAATGGAAAAGCAATAATTGTATAAGATAATAAAGAATATCTTCAGGGCCTGGGAAGACAAAGGTTTCTTAAGCAGGATATGAAAAACATTAATGATTTCAACTGTATTAAAATTAAAAAGAGTTTTCTTCTCTAAAAAGGCACCAATAAGAGAGCAAAAGCAAGTGAAACTAGATTATTTGTGGTTTATATAATTGACAAATGGCTTATATGCAGAATACATAAAAATTCGAACAATAAGAAGAGAGACCACCCAATAGGAATATGGGCGATATTTTGAAAAAGCAGTTTACAAAAGAGATTATACAAATATCTAATAAACGTTTTAAAGGACGTCCAACCTCACTTGTCCTTAAATAATAATTAAGTCCATCGGGAGAAATACTATACATTCACCAGAAAAGTTAAAAGATAGAAAATAATTTAAAGTGTTGATGTGGTTTTGAAGCAACTGGAAATCTCTTATGCTATCAGGATGAATTTTGAACAACCACTTTGGAAACAAGTTTCATATTATCTACAACATTTGAACACATGCGTCCTATATGATCCAAGAATTTCTTTTCTGGGTATGCATTCAACAGAATTGTAAGCACATATGCAGTAATAGAAACTTATAACAATGTTCACAAATGGATTATTTAGCCACAGAAGGAAAGCAATGTCTAGCAAGACAGGAAAGAATAAATAGTGGTGTATGAATAGATTGTACTACTTTACATCTATCAAAATGAATATGATAAAGATACACACAATAACATATGTGAATCTTGATCATAATTTTGAACAAGAGGAACAAATACAAACACATTCTGTATTACTCTATTTATAGGGGGTAAATTATTCTTTGCCATTTGACATCAGGAGAGTGGTTACATTTTGGGAGAAGGGAGAGGGAAATAATGTGGTTGGGGCATGAGGAGCCTCCTATGTGTCCTTTGAGTGTTTCTTGACCCAGGTTGATAGTTTCATGGGTGTGTTCACTCTGAACTAATTCCTTGAGCTATACAATTACGATTTGCACAATTCAATTATATTATATTTCAGTGGAAGCTTATGAAAGAGAAACATTGCTGCTAAAATTCATTAAGTGAAGGCTTATGGGGACGTAGACCTTCATAGCATCCCATACTTGCAAAAGGGGCAATCTAACTGAAGGATGACATCAGTATCAGATATCAGATATCACACAAACCAATGATCACTTTTACTGTCTCAACTGTGGGTCAATCTGACATTACAAATTTTCTGATGTAGTACAACATGAGGTACAAAATTTCACCTGTGATTTATTCTAGTCAAGCGTGTTTAACTGGCAGCCATTAAGGCATTAGGTGTAAATTTAGACACAGAAAGCAATCAAGCAAAGCCTCAAGGTATGCCATTTTGTAGGTCAATTGTCCTCTTTCCTTCAACAAGTCAGTACCATTTAAAAAGGGGGGTAATTCTAGATTTAAAAAAAAATTAAGGGGTGGACAATTAGATATAATGTGCAGGACTGCACTGAGACTGGTTTAAAGAAATCAGCCATAAAGAAAAATGTTTAACTAATTAAAGACATCTAAATACAGCATGGTTATTATATATAATGAAAATGCATGAAAACAAAAATGTGAAAATTATTGACTGAAAAAGAGGTTACAAAGTGTATATTTGATGAAAAATAATATGTAAGGCTAGAGTAAAAGGTACTAACAATAGTGCTTTCTTGTTTATAGGACTATTTCAACACATTTTGCTCCTCTGCATTTAAAAACTTTTCTCTGATGCACATATACTGTTTCTGTAATAATAAAATTATGTTTAAATGATTCAACATTTCTGAATAGCAAATTACTATATATGTATACTTTAAAATAGACAATTTATAGGGCTATACCCAACTTGTGGCTGTGCACTATCCACTTAGTATACAGGTACTTCTTACCCTTCTTTTAATATCTAATTATAAAATTCTGAACTCATTGAGGGCTATTAGCACATCTACAATTGTTTATGCTTCTTCTAAGTTTGATATTTGTATGGTATTTTTAAAATTATATATTATGAACTTTTTGTATATATTTGAGTATTTTGATATTTTACCTATAAAAAGTACAATGTTTACTGAACAAAATAATAGAATAATTATTTTTAAAAATGTAGAAATTAACAATTGCAGGCAATATCACTTCCCAGAAATAATTTCCAGTTTTATTACATTGTCATCATGGACTAAATTATACACTATTTTTACTTTTTGGAATATGCTAAGGTTTTCATTGAGGCCCAATACTTTGTCCATTTTGACTATTATTCCATGAGTATTTGAATAAATATACACATATTAGTTATCTTCCATTAATTGCTTATGTCCTCCTAAATCTCACTTATTTTTTTCACTTGATCTTCCATCAGCTGAAAAAATAGTATTATAAATTGTATTTTTTAAAATGCTTCTGAAGTTTTTGCTTTCTGAATTTTGCATACATATTTAATAAATATTTATGACAGTTACTTATTTATAGTGACCTTTTTATTGATACAAAGTGCCTTTGTCCTTCTTCATATTTTTTACCAACCATGAATAAAACCTATTTGTTCTAAATATTGTGATCTTTCCTTTTTGTTTTAATTTCCATTTGCCTGTAGTTCTTTTGCCCAAAGCTTCACTTTCAAGCTTTTGAGTTAATTTTTATTAGAGTTTCTGCTTGTATGCAATAAATCATTGGCTTTGTTACTGAATGTAATCCTGTAAGGAATCATGATTCCTCTCAGAGTTTTCACTGTCAAGAACTTAAAGAGTCTGTTTACGGAGGTGTAGCTAGGGTTAAAAAAATAAGAGAGAAAGAGAGATGCAGAGGAACAAAGACACCAACCACAGGAAGCCATAAAGGGACAAGAGAAAAGATAGCATTACCAGAGCTAAGTGAGTTCTGGAGCTACAAAGAAAGGTCACATAGCAGAAGTTCTAGTTATGGAGAGATTCAGCCCCTGGCAGAAGCACAGAACCAAAGCAGAGGGAATCGGGGAAGAAATAACCCATTCTCCTCTCCACCTAACTTGAACCCTAGAGAAGCCTCCCACTGAGTGCCTTCTGCTGAAATTCAGGCGACAAAGGAATCTGGATGATGTTGACTGCATGGCTCTGCATCCATGAGCACAGAGCAAGTTAGACAAGGGAAGAAAATAAATCCATGAAGTCAATAAAAACTTACCAGAACATTACTCCGACTTCGCATTCATTCTTGCCTCTTGCTTAGATTAAGAAAATTGGATCTCCAGTACAGAGAGACCACAGTCCTAGCATAATTTAAATTGTGGCAGGGTGTCAGCAATTCAGTCTTATTCCCAACTGGATTATAAATGTTAATGTCACCCACTATCAGTATTCTTTATATGAGATAGCAAGGAGAGTGAGGGGAAAGAAATATTCAGTTAATATAAATATGTAAATTAGCTACTACTATTTTCACTTTTTGTCATGAGGCTAAATTTTATCATCATAATTTCCTTTTTCTATTGTCCATTCCATTTTCAAGCAAACTTTACTACTTCCATAGTACAGGAATTATTGTCTCATGGGATGACGCAAATCTTCATTTCATAGGATCGAAGTCCCTAGTGATACTGTCTTTATTTGGTGGCTCTTTACGGGACATATAAGTGCTAAAAGACTCCACAGCAGATCTCCTGGATTCCAACTAGGCCTACTTGCCTAGTTTTCATTTGTTAATCAGAATTAATCAATCCATTCAGTATAGTTAAACTCTTTATTGCCAGTTAGGTCAATGGCATTAGGAGCTAAAAATAGCAAGGGTGCAATTTCAGGTCCAAATTTAATGGAAACATAGCTATATTTCTTGAAAGAAATGTTCCTTCCTTGGAAAAGAGAACCTCCAAAGCTACTAAATACAAGTTTCCAGGAAGGGAAATAAAATTCTGTAAATCGAATATTAGGTAAAATAATTCTACTTCTTAGTTCCTGATCCTACATATTCTGGCTTTTGGAAATATGGCTTATGTATTGGCTAATAGTTTAATCTGTTAGGCCAGCACCACAATTTCAAGCAATATTTTGTCACACCTGGCACTGAAACTGAGCCTTTAGGAAGCCATTCCATCATTCTATCAGGCCAGCTGCTTACTGGTGATGGAACATGTGGGGAAACATGAATTTCATGGGCATGGATCTTTTGTAACAATTGTTTTGCTATAAAATGAGTTTCCTTGTCAAAGGCAATGTAGTATGGGATGTTATGGCAATGAATAAGGCATTCTATAAGGTGACATATGGTGACACTGGTAGAAGCATTGAAAGCAGAGGAGAGAAACCCATTTCTAGAATGTGTATTTGGTTTTATGTGGACAAATGATTGCTTACTCCACAATATAAAGGATTCAATGTAATCACTCTGGCACCAGGAGCCTGGTCGGTGTCCCTATGAAATGGTGCCATATCAGGAACACATTGGCCCTTGGTATTGACAAGTTGGACACTCAATGATAGTAGACAGATCAGGGTTGCTAAAGGGTAGTCCATTGTGTTGAGTTCATGCATATTTACCACCCATGCATCTATGATTACTTTTTGCATGGTTCCACTAGGTAAGCACCAGTATCACTGGGAGAAAGCTTGATAGACATCCACAGGAAAGATCAGACACCTAATCTACCTGATTGTTGAGCACCTTCTCTTTAGGGGATTCCCCTGTTGAATATGAATGAGAGTTGAGGAAAATTTGATAACTAAGCAGGAATAGCTAATAAAGGTCTGAACTACCTGCTCATTCAATATACTTGTGACTCCCCTTCCTGTTCAGCCTTAATGTCACCCATATCAATTCCATTTTATAATAACCTGCTAATTTTCAAGCACAGTTTTAAGATTTGATAACTTGGATAGCACCCGGTTGATAGTTAACACTTCAAATCACATAGTTACCTGGTGACAAGCCAGACTTCTTCAATAGATAAAAATATTTGGCAGAAGGGGACATAGTTTTGTTCCAAAATTATTAGTTAGGTGAACTATGATTGTCTTCTTGGGGTTACTTGGAAGCCTCAAACAGCATTACTCTAAGCCAGATACTTAGATCTACTGAGTCAAAATACACACGCAGCAGAGGAGCCTACAGCACAGACTGAACCTGCTGCAAAGAGCTATTTTTTCTAAATGTGTAGACTTGTGAGTTAGCCTGTAATAGGTTTGAATACACATAACTGTAGTCATGTTACTTCCAAAATCCAGAGAAGCCTCTCAGTCACTCTGTTCTTTCTGTGTGGTAGGCAGTACAAGGTATAGTTACCTGTTATTCCCTAAGAAACAGATATTCTTACATACCCCATTTTGTAATAGCTTCTACATTAATTAGGACCCTTGTATAAAACAGAAATCTGCTTCAGGCTTGGTATGGGGGCTCACACCTCTAATCCCAGCATTTTGGGAGGCCAAGGTGGGAGATCACGTGAGCCTAGGAGTTCAAGACCATCCTGGGCAACATAGGGAGACCCCATCACTATTATTAAAAAAGAAAGAAAGAAAAGAAAAATAAATCTGCTTCAAAGATCCACAATAGAGACTTTGTTGAACGGACTACTTACCTCAGTTAGAGCAGGATTTAAAACCCCAGGAAAGGTTGCTGTAGTACTCAGATACCAGGAACAGTGAAATGCTGTTACCATCCCCAGACCTGAAGGGACAAGGTGTATAATTTGCATTATTGAAGCCTAGAAAGAGCTGGTGCTGTGGAGAAGAGTTATCTGGTAGAAACTACATTCACGCAGAATTAGGAAGAAAGCAGGGTATAGATATCAGGATTTATCTCTCTCTCCTTCAACCATCTGACCCACTGCCAGTGCCTTACATTAATCCAATTCAACTAGGAGCTAGCTGGCAGAGGAACCTGAATGATAAAGTCTTAGGAGTTCACCTCCTGGAGCACAGAACAGAGTACTGAAAGTCAGATAAAGGATTTGTGTGGAGCTAACAGAATTATCAACACATTTTTCTTGTCCAATATAAGTCTTTTGCTTTAATTATTAATTTTATTTCATTACATATAACAGTGAAGATATGTTTAGTTTGAGTTTTGTCATCTTATGTAATGATCTCTGCTTTGAATGTTTTATTTTTTCACATTTTTCTATAATATGTTCTTTGTGTATATGTTTGCATTTGCCTTTCATAAGATTTTGTATGTTTGTGTATATGTATCAGTTATGATGATACACAGCAGAAAAAAAATTTTAATATCTGCAAATATATATAAAGTAGAGATGCACCAAATAGATATTTGGCTGAACACCGAAAGGCTGAGTATCAACGTCATTATTCACCTGAAGCTGAATATTACTATTGTAGAATGAATCCAAAGTTTTATGAAATTCAATTTTGAGTGCAATATTTGTTACTGAAATTTCAGTAATCAAAAATTTAAAGCTTGATATTATTCAAGGACAGTAATTTCTTGTCATTGTCAGCTACAAGATTGTTCCTGTGGTCATCATAGCATGGGCAGATGCTAATTTGTCTACCTTCCTATATCATACATAGGAGGAAGTTCCCACCAAATTATTACACTTTCTTCCACTATAATATTAAAAAATAAAGTATATATATGAAGATTGTGGATTCTGAAAATGTAGTTGATGGTGACTATGGAGCTTCATTGAAGCAATACCCCAGCAACTGCAGCTTTGCACACTGACTATTTTTAGAAGCAGAATTAGAATTGATGCTTTGAAATACATATTTTTATGCTTCTATTTTCCTGCACTTGTTCCATAATCACTTGAGAATATTTCTCTATAAACCTTAACTTTTAAATGTGGCAATGGAAAAGTGAAAATAGCTCTTAAGATAAAGCAATTGTCTCTGAATTTTCAGCTGCATCTAAACTTTCATGATGAAGCTAATTTCAGTAGGTTCTCCAGTTTAGGATGACAGGAAGAGCTTTACCACAGGTATCTTATAAGAAATATGTGCACTCTAATGGCATATTGTATGGTGATTTCATCAACAAATTATAGCAAACAAACTAATTTATCTCTAAGCAACCACTGGATCTTAATAAGTCCTGAGATGGAAGCTGTGCCATTAAGGTTTGTTCAAGCAGCTACTTTAATATTTAATCTGCCAATTTACCTTGTATAGGTTCATAACAAAGCAGTTCCAAAATTGTATGCCTGTCATGTAGTATATCTTTAGCTGAAGATTTTAAGATTTCACCAAGGTTAATTAACCCTTGGAAGTAAATACTCAGATATTAAAAATAAATCTAAAGGATCATGAGGTCATTGATAACATATAAGCTTAGAGATGCCAGAAATGTGGGTGGATTAGATCAGTTTTCTAATCTGAACTCCCAAAATATGAGGGAAAACTAAAGGTGAATGGAGAATTGGGCTGATCCAGAGGGTAAACATGCACATACGTGAGTGCAAATGTGTGCTTGCATGAGATATGTGCCCTCCGTGGCCCTGAGAAAGTAGCGGCAGAGATAGACTTCTCAGGGAAACCTGGGCACTGTCCCTGCCTTTACACATTTGTCAGGTATATTGGCTCATGGGCTCATTCTCTTTATCAGAGAAAGATTACAGATTTCTGATATAAACACCAAAAGATCAGGTGATATATTATTGAAAGTTCACTGCCTATTTTAATCTGAGTAATATAAAATAATAATGGTATATGGATGGTCTGATGGCAATATTAGTTTCTTCTACTAGGTAGGGAAGGAGGTGTCTTTCTCTTTTTGTGAATTTGGGCCTTTGTTGTAAATCGGGAGTTGACATATTTCTGGAACATAAGGGAAAACAACATCCAACCAGAATCTAACCTTTTAATCCATCCAAGAGTTTACTTAATTCACCCAATTAAAATATGGATTCTCTACAATACCTATTCATAATCTCTTTAGTCCATATTTTCTCCATTATGTCCAACTCCCACCATTCAGCTGTTGTTTTATTGTGAGAGCTATTTTTAAGATTGTAGAATTAATTACTTAAAACATGTACTCCCTAACTCTACAGGCTCATAAAGTTCATGTTCACCTCTGCATTCCAGTGATCAGAAAAAATATGGGGCATATTTCCAAATATAACTCCTTCACTGTCTCTTTTCAAAGGACATAACAGAGTGATAGAATTGAAGGAAGAGGGCAGATAATTTAAAAATATTATATAGGGGGCCACCTCTTGAAAAGGAAATCTAATATCCTACAGGAAGGCTCTGGCCCTAGGTTTTCATCTGTAAATCATAGTTACTCTAACTCTTATAGTTACTCTAACTCTTCTAGTTACTAGAGGGAAAATTTTCTTTATTCATCTTGCTGTGTTGTTCATCTTGGAAAGGGAAAGTAAAAGCTTTGTAATAACACCTAAGATAATAATAGCCTCACAGATTACTATGATCATACAGGACAGTATGTTTCATAGTTTTACATTTCTTAAAATCTTGTCCACAAACAGAAAATATTTGATGTAAAGAGTAGAAACCAATCTAAGAAGAAGAGCAAAGAAAAGCAACTAAAGATGCTTACCTTGAAAGAAAGAGGACTTAAGGCAACATTAGTTGTTTTCAAATATTTGAGGTGGTGGATACAAGTTTTAGGATGGCATATGTAAACTACTCTAAGGAATTAATAATTACTAGCATACATGGATTGCTTTAAGGGATGGGGGACACAAACAGCAGGGTCAAAACAAAGTCTTATGGTCAGGAATACTGTAGAGAAAATACGGCCATTGAATAGGGAGTTAGACTAATTAAGCTATATAGACCTTTTCAATTGTGATTAAAATTGTGTGAGTTATATGAAATTGTATGAGATAGTACTGATATTTAAGGATTATTGTATTATTTTCCTATTTGTCAGGCTAACAAAAGTGAAGGCAATGCATGATAAATGTGGTATAGTGATGATTAGTAGATTTAGAGTTGCAAACACGGAGCTTGAACTCAGAATTCAGTTCTATCACTGACATTAGTAAACTAGAATAAATAATTAACTTATATGAGACTCAATTCATTTATTAAACATAATGATAATTATACTATATACCTCACAAAATTATTATGTGAGTTAAATTAGGTAGCATGTATTCAGTACAATGAACCCTTAGAAATGGCCTAATATGTGCACTTGTAATTGTGACAAGCTGAGTCACAAAGAGAGGAAAGTGGCAGTTGCGGCCTAAAATTTTGCTGGGTTTTTATGACACATACAGAGATAGCTATAATTCAACAGGGTAAATGCTATAACAGAGGTGAATTTAAAAGTATCTTATGAACAAATGAAGTTGGGAAAGGTTGATTTTGGAGATGAATTAGAAAAACATGCAAAAAAGAAGTGCCATAAATCTTGCAAGACAAACAGTATTTAGGAAGTATGTAAAAATATACCAGAAATAGTCAGCATGCATAGATATTGAATAAAAATCTGCCTAAGCCCTCTCTCTGAAAAAAAATAAAATAAAATATAAGCCCTTCATGGGGAACAACAAATAGTAAAAGCTGACTTGACTATGTATTTGAACACACTTGGTACGGTACATGGAAGGTAGCAGGTACACAATATGTGCTTTTTTAAAAAACAGAGTGTTTGACTTCTGGTTCTGGCCATAATAAAATAATGGATTTCAGACTGAATCTTCTGCTGTAAACAACTATAAAACTAGACAAAATGTACCATGTGCCCATTTTAAAGCATTGTACAACACACAGCATAGAGTCGTGATCCTTGAAGTGAACTCCACATTTAAAGCTGGCCTTTTATATAGGGATACTTCCAAAACTGCAGGAAAGCAAAGAGGAGCCCAAATAGATCACAGCAATTTTTCTGAATGGAGAAACCAATTGTAGGATGCAGCTGAGGTGGCTGGAATTTATGAAGAACATTCCAGAGAAGAAAGAGTAGAACTGAGAAAGAGATCTAAAAATCTACAAATGAGTCTTCTTGAATTTTTTGAGTGAACAACATATTATGCATGTACAGAGTAAGATTTCACAAGGCCACACAGAGAACTGTTTCTAAGGGGCCATGAGCGGAATGAGGATTTCACTGGTTCAACAATGTTGAAAGCCATTAGAGTTTCAACCAGTCAAAGTGAAAGGACTCACTGAGCATCTCCCAGGGTTTAAATAAGAACTCAGAAAAGTCAGCTTCCAAAGTAGGGCTCATCTACTCCTATCAGAAGAAATACTCTTAAATCAGCCTTAAAAACTTAAAAATAAGCACCAACTGGATCAAACTAATGTGCCAGTAAATTAACTGTCTGCTCAAAATAAAATTCAACACACTTCTACCAAAGACGGAAGTCTAGAATCTAAATAATATAGTATGAAAAATGTCAAATATAAAACAAAAACAATTATTAAACATGCAAAAATAGCAGAAACCTATGAGAAAATTAGGAGAAAAATAAGCAATAGAAACAGACCTAAGATAGCCAGGATGTTGTTAAGAATGAAAACAAGCATTATTAAGCTGGTATTAAAATATGTCCAAGGATTTAGAGGAAAAGAAGAAAAACAGTGGAGAGATGTAGAATATCAACACAGTCATACAATTCAAAATTCGTAATTGTAGGCGGGCAAAAAGGCATGTAATAGAAAAGGGAATAATGATAAAAATACTTCTGACTTCTCTTCAGAACAAATGTAAGCTAAATGAAAATCTAAAAATTATTTAAAGTATAGAGAAGAAATAATAAGTCGTTTCAGAATTATATATACAGTGAAAATAATCTTCAAAAGGCAAAATTAACACTTTAATAAGGTTAAAATAATAGGTGAAAGAATATATTACCTCCAGAAAAGCACTACAAGAAATGTTGAAGCATGCTTTTCAAGCACAAGAGTAGTGATAAAAAATATAAATTCACATCTACCAAAGATGTGGAGTGCTACTGGGGCACAAGGACAGATAGGTTTTCCTTAAGGGACAATGACAACAACAAAGAATCTAAAGTTTCAACAGGAAAACACATAATTTTTCTCATCCTGAGATGATAGTTTTAATATCCCGATTTAGTAATTGTCGTATCTGATTATCTTTGTCAGAAAAACTAACATATACAAGTTTTTTAAGCCCAAAATATGAAGTCTTTTTATCACTTCATTGAGTCACGAGCTGCTATGGTTACCAAGAGAAAAGATTTTTGGAGCCCAAAGACTTCTCAGGCTTATTTTTCTCTCCATTTCTTACTTCTGTGCCTTTAAAGATATTACAAAGGAATTTAAGAGCACCCATTGTAGGGCAAAAGTGAAGAAAAAAATTAACTGTGGGTATGTTATGATCAATTGCTTGTATTAGTTATGAAGCCAGGTATCTAAGAATGTCCTTATCCAAACAACTGTATTTAGCATAAAAAATACTGGAAAAGTGGCTTATCAATTTCAAAAACTTATCTCTGCAAATATTATATAATGGAATTTGTTTTCCAGTATCTTATATAGCAATGTCATCAAGTTTGTAAACTGGATAATCTGCTAATTATTTTATGAGAATGGCAGAAGTCATTTAAAGTAGCCACATTCAACTCTGAGTGTATATGTGCATATGCCCATCAAAATACAAGCAGGGCTCAATAGGTAGTTTATGTTTGTGGGCAGGTAATCTTAAAAAATATTTACCTAAAAAACAACAGCCCTTCATGCTAAAAACTCTCAATAAATTAGGTATTAATGGGACATATCTCAAAATAATAAGAGCTATTTATGACAAACCCACACCCAATATCATACTGAATGGGCAAAAACTGGGTGCATTCCCTTTGAAAACTGGCAGAAGACAGGGATGCCCTCTCTCACCACTCCTTTTCAACATAGTCTTGGAAGTTCTGGCCAGGGCAATCAGAAAGGAGAAGGAAATAAAGGGTATTCAATTAGGAAAAGAGGAAGTCAAATTGTCCCTGTTTGCAAATGACATGATTGTATATCTAGAAAACCCCATTGTCTCAGCCCAAAATCTCCTTAAGCTGCTAAGCAATTTCAGCAAAGTCTCAGGATACAAAATCAATGTGCAAAAATCACAAGCATTCTTATACACCAATAACAATCAGAGAGCCAAATCATGAGTGAAATCCCATTCACAATTGCTTCAAAGAAAATAAAATACCTAGGAATCCAACTTACAAGGGATGTGAAGGACCCTTCAAGGAGAACTATAAACCACTTCTCAATGAAATAAAAGAGGATACAAACAAATGGAAGAACATGCCATGCTCATGGGTAGGAAGAATCAATATCGTGAAAATGTCTATACTGCCCAAGGTAATTCATAGATTCAATGCCATCTCCATCAAGCTGACAATGACTTTCATCACAGAATTGGAAAAAACTAATTTAAAGTTCATATGGAACCAAAAAAGAGCCCGCATCACCAAGTCAATCCTAAGCCAAAACAATAAAGCTGGAGACATCACGCTACCTGACTTCAAACTATACTACAAGGCTACAGTAACCAAAACAGCATGGTACTGGTACCAAAACAGAGATATAGACCAACGGAACAGAACAGAGCCCTCAAAAATAATGACACACATCTACAACCATCTGATCTTTGACAAATCTGACAAAAACAAGCAATGGGGAAATGATTCCCTATTTAATAAATGGTGCTGGGAAAACTGGCTAGCCATATGTAGAAAGCTGAAACTGGATCCCTTCCTTACACCTTATACAAAAATTAATTCAAGATGGATTAAATACTTAAATGTCAGACTAAAACCATAAAAACCCTAGAAGAAAACCTAGGCATTACAATTCAGGACATAGGCATGGGCAAGGACTTCATGTCTAAAACACCAAAAGCAATGGCAACAAAAGACAAAATTAACAAATGGGATCTAATTGAACAAAAGAGCTTCTGCACAGCAAAAGAAACTACCATCAGAATGAACAGGCAACATACAGAATGGGAAAAAAATTTGGAACCTACTCATCTGACAAAGGGCTTATATCCAGAATCTACAAAGAACTCAAACAAATTTACAAGGAAAAAAAACTAACAACCTTATCAACAAGTGGACAAAGGATATGAACTGACACTTCTCAAAAGAAGACATTTATGCAGCCAAAAGACACATGAAAAAATGCTCATCATCACTGGCCATCAGAGAAATTCAAATCAAAACCACAATCAGATACCATCTCACACCAGTTAGAATGGTGATCATTAAAAAGTCATGCAACAACAGGTGCTGGAGAGGATATGGAGAAATAGGAACACTTGTACACTGTTGGTGGAACTGTAAACTAGTTCAACCATTGTGGAAGTCAGTGTGGTGATTCCTCAGAGATCTAGAACAAGAAACACCATTTGACCCAGCCATCCCATTACTGGATAGATACCCAAAGGATTATAAATCATGCTGCTATAAAGACACATGCTAAAGACACGTATGTTTATTGCAGCACTATTCACAATAGCAAAGACTTGGAACTAAGCCAAATGTCCAACAATGATAGACTGGATTAAGAAAATGTGGCACATATACACCATGGAATACTATGCAGCCATAAAAAATGATAAGTTCATGTCCTTTCTAGGGACATGGATGAAGCTTTAAACCATCATTCTCAGCCAACTATCACAAGGACAAAAAACCAAACACCATATGTTCTCACTCGTAGGTGGGAATTGAACAATGAGAACACTTGGACACAGGAATGGGAACATCCCACACCAGGGCTTATCGTGGGGTAGCGGGGAGGGGGGAGGGATAGCATTAGGAGGTATACCTAATGCAAATGATGAGTTAATGGGGGAAGCACACCAACATGGCACATGAATACATATGTAACAAACCTGTACGTTGTGCACATGTACCCTAAAATTTAAATAAAAAATATATTTACCTAAAAATCAATATGACTGCTTAAATAAATAAATTGCAAATTATTCTAAGAATACATGATTATGAAATATTTTCAAGCCTAACAGAAATAAAGATAACAGTATAATTATTCTTGATAACCCCAAGCTGAAGAGAACTCAAAGGCCCGCAAAATTGGAAAATGGGTTGTAAAAGCTGTGATATAGTCAAATAATTGGAAACTACTCAAAAGTACTACAAAAAAAGACACCAAAAGTATGTATTGTATGATCACATCCATATAAAGTTTCAGAATGGGCAAGATCAATCTGTAGTGATAGAAACAAGAATAATGGCTGGAGGGTGACGGGAATTGATTATTAAGTGGCATGAGAAATTTCTGAGGTAATGTCAATGTTCTATGGGCTGTGAGTGGCTCTATCATGTATTTTTATCAAAAGTCATTGAATAATGATTTAAAAATTGTGCATTTCATCTTATCTAAAGTATACCAAAATTAAAAACAAGGAAAAAATGCTATCAAAAAGTATGGAAAAGTAAACTTTCGCACATTAGTCTCAAAAACCAATGATTTCTGATATTCTTTTTACTCTATCAATGTTTTTCATTTTGAATCATCTAGGTTTTTCTGTATTACTGTACTTCAGCTCAGAGACTGAATACTTAACAAAATGCAGAGTATGAATTTCAGTGAAGTAATGGCCAAAAAATTGGCCATAAACAGATTATTGTGAGATTAGTATTTGTGGTATGCACAGTAGCCTCCCAAAGATGTCCACATCCTCATTCCTGGAATCTGTGAATATGGCAAAATGGACTTTGTAGCTGTAACTAAGGTTACAAACTTTAAGATAGGGCAAGCATCTTTAAGTATCCAGGTGAACCCAATCTAATCATATGACCCCTCAAAAGCAGAGAACATACTTCAGCTGGAGAAAGAGAGGCTTGGCAGAGGGAAGGTTCGGAGGCGTCATTGCTGGTTTTGCGATGTAGAGGCTCACATAGGAAGTCTGGAGACAGGTTACTAGGAGCTGACACCAGCAACCACCAGTTGACACAGGCAAGAAAACAATGACGTATAACTGTACAAGATACTGGGAATGGTGATACAACTGCAAACAACTAAATTCTGCCAACAACCTTAATAAATCTGGAAATGTACTCTTACCAGAGCTTCCCAATAAGATCCCTGTTGATTGTCACCTTCGTTTGGACCTTGCCGGATGTTGAACAGGGGAGCTGGTTGAGCCCACTGCGACTTCAGACCTACAGAAGTGTGAGATAATAATTTATGTTGCTGAAGCCATTAATTTACTTTAAATTGTCATGGTGCCAATATAAAACAAATACTTTATTTTATAATGAGACTGGATAACGAAGGGCTTGTGTTGATTTTCAAGGAGATTGAAAAATATATCTCATAAATCTAGTGAAAACATGAAAGTTCTGGGGAGGATGAAATTGATAATATCTTTTCTATTTGTATGAGTCCGGTTTTGCACTGCTGTCAAGAACTACGTGAGACTGGGTAGTTTATAACGAAAAGAGGTTTAATTGACTCACAGTTCTGCATGGCTGGGGAGGCCTCAGGAAGCTGACAATCATGGCGGAAGGTGAAGGGGAAGCAGGCACCTTCTTCACAAGGTGGCAGAAGAGAGGGAAGTAGGAGCACAGGAAAAAACTGCCTCTTTTAAAACCAAAAGATTTCGTGAGACTCTCTATCAGGAGAACAGCATGGGAGAAATCCCCCCGCCGCATAATCCTATCACTTCCCTCCTTCAACACGTGGGAATGGGTAGGGACACAGAACAAAAGCATAGCAGCATTTATGTTAATTCTGCTACATCATTCCTCTTAGACCATCTCTCTCCGTTTTGTTTTCCTAGAATAGCCCATTGCTTGTATTAAAATCATTTCTAGGTATAAACTTTATTCTCAGTAAAACCTTGAAAATGTGAATATACTTGGCATTTTTACTTCGTCAACACAGAAGAAAATTCTGTACAAAGCCAAAATTCTTCTTTTGATTGCCCTCGTAATATAGGAAAAAAAGATGGAAATATAAATATTTTATATGAAAACTAAAATCCTCTGATATGGCCTCAAGGCATGTTGGTCAGCCTCATCCCTTTCACAAACTGGCATCAGTGACTGCTACTCTCAGTTTCCTTCCTTGTTTCCTTCCATATACTCTCCCTATTCCTCCCCCAAAATCATTACTTCTAGTTAAAATCGATCTTTCCTTCCATTTTTCATTCTTGTCACCATTTTCAGGAAAGAGCTATTGCCCCTTTCTTTGATCAAAGGCAACTCCCCAAGTACAATGTTTTTTTTTCTTGCCTGAGGAAGGTTATTTTTTCATGTTGGAAAGAAATGAAAGATTAGAAACCAAACCACACACAATCTTGCACACTGTAGTCACCAAGGAGGTAACTTTCCACCATTACTTGAGACAAATGCGTGTGTGCGTTTTTAATCTAGTCTGACCTCAGAGCCTCTAAATAGATGAAGAAATACCTGTGTAATTGAAAAAAAAAAACTGTTCTCTCAGCCATTATTCAAAGGACACTAACTCAAATAAGAAATCTTAAAGCTCTTTAAAATGCAAAAACATTTTCTTGGTGGAACATCAAATGATAGCTTATTCACATTAATTCCATAATTACAACAAGCCCCAGTGAACAGGTCTGGCTATTTTTCATTGAAAACAAAAAAGTATAACAATCATAGAACACCTGAATTTATTGGCTTTAATTAAGCGTGTTTGTTCTAAACTGATGTAATTTAGGCACAATCCATAGAAAAGAAAATATATTGTATATTCAGTACTGATTTGCCTGTCCATATAAGAATATTTACAGTCTAGTGAAAATTAGCCTGATGTTATATACAGAAAAGTATAAAACCTCTAATAACATTATTTTTTTCATTTAAAGACAAAGGTTTAAAATAAACTTCATATATTATAAAGTCAGCTAAAGTTATTTTTATTTCTCTTAACTAAATACACTGAGATTTTAGAAGAAAAATATAAATTTCTGAAATTTTATACATTATCAAAACAATTTCACTGAAGAATGGGGTTTCGATCAGGAATCACAGTGTTTCTAAGAAGCCTATTGATTACTTTCCTCCAACTATTATAAGTAACTAATAAACTATTTTTGCTCTGTTTGAAATATTAAACTAATATTAAATATAACTGAACCAACTCAATGGATGAACTCTAGCATTGAGGTATGTCTATGTAACGTATTTGTGATTATAGCAATAAAAGAAATGCATTTCAATTTTTTTTCAGTTTCTACTATATACTAGCTAATGGATTAGCTTTGTAGTAGTAAGTTGAAGAATGGGAAGCAGAAATAGAGTTGAAAAGATAAATGAAATTTATTAAGTCCATGCTGTGGACTAGGTGTATGATGGACTTTCTGTACATATTTATTTATATAAGAATCTTATAAATTAAAAAATTATACTCAATATATAAGAAAATTGAGACTCAGACAAGTAAAATAACCCATTCAAGTTTACATAAGTGGGTTTTCAATCCTTATTCATCTAGTTCCAGTGCCCATGACCTGGCTCTCTGGAAGGGAGACAAACTGAGGAAGAGAAAAAGTAAAATAAGCAGTGAAGGCAGAAATTGCTAAACTCTGTAGTGCTATCAGGGGCACATGGGCATCTTCCTGGAACTAGCACTATGAGAGTGTAGCCCTCTCCCTACATAAACACCATTTCTTCATAGTGAACTATAGAGAAACTTAGAAGGCAAGACCTCAACTGCCTAAGTGGACATAAATGTAAAATTTTTAGGTCTTGTGCAGGTCCTGACTCAGAGTGAAGAACGTGAAGCCCTTGCTGCCTCAGGTGAGGAACCTAAATGGATGTCAAATAAACTCAGTAATCAAGGTAAATGATAATGTAATATTTTATTAAATCAAAATTAATGCAGGAAATCCATGATGAACAACATATTAACATTTTAAATAAAGACAAAATCAATATTACTGAGGTTTTCTTTCACTTCATGCTTCTAATGTGGCTTGGCAATGGTGCTGTGTTGTTACTGATCCTATCAGACTACTGAGCATCTGCTAGAGATGATAACAGTAGAGTCAAAGGGTGAGTCAAAGAGTGCGTACATTTAAAATTCAGATAATAATCATATTTAATGACTACAGCTTGAGGTTTTAAAATTTCTTCATATCTGTAGGTGTAGTGTCTTTATCTATTTTAAAAATTTCCTTCTTTCTTTCTACTTTTCTTGGAAATTGTCAAAAGTGTACTGTATTAGCCTTTTCAGATACCATACTTTGAAAATATTTATCATGTACTCTATTTTTTGTTTTTATTTAATAATTTTATGCTCATCAATTCCACCTATATCTTTTCTGCTAGATAGTCTACACATTAGTTTTCAACTTGAAGTTGTTTTTTAAATGTCCAAGTCCTCTCACATTTTGTATGCATATTATAGTTTTTCATATTCTATTTGTGTTGAAAACTCTTATTCCAAGAGCCTTTACTCACTAATACTGGATGATGGATAAATTGTGTTGTGGGTGTTCCCATGGATTTTCTTTTGCATATGTGAGTTTCCTATTCCTCTGGGGGGAGTGTAGCTATGTGTGTTAATAAACGAAAATGATTCAAGTCATTATAAACAAGATAATGTGTAGAGTGCAGACAATGATATCTTGAAAAAGAATAATTGGCACTGACATTGATAACTCAAATTGGAATAAAAGAGAATTAAACGTTCACTATCATGTAGTGATTCCTTAAATTAAGGAAGGATTTGGATGTAGATTTATAGAGGAAACATGTTACCAGGACATTCTTAAGAAAATAAAAGGATGGCTGAAAAAATTATGTAAAACCTGAAGGGTCATTCAAGCAACAAATAGACATAAGAGAACTCAGATAACATCACCCCAAAAATCTAGCCAAAGAATGAGCCAAAATAAGGAGAAAGTAAAAAGAGACATTTTATGAAATGACAGATGAACAATAAGTCCTATAAATACAGCACATAGATTAAGCAACTAAAGAAAACTTCTTGCAGTCTACAGAAAAAAAGTCATAAATTTTAGTAAAACAAGAATAATGCAAGTTACAAAACTCCAGAGGTTGCAGAAGAGAATTAAAAAAAAACTGTCCTCACATAACCTCTTATAAAAAGATGTAGACTGGAGCAGTCTAAAAATAAAATCTGAAGGTAAAATAGAAACCACAGGAACTTCTACCAGTAACTGCAGATTTGTAATTGATATCAATTCTCCCATGGAACACAACAAAATTTTCTTTGAGACACTAAGTGTTAACAAAACCATGGAAAATTGCAAAGCCCAGATCCAAGAGATGAGCTTGGCATTGAGCATCACTTTTCAGCTCAAGATTTTTACTGATTCTAGGAAGTTAAAAAATAGATTGCAAAACTAAGGAATACTTTTGGCAGCAAAATGCATGTAACTGTGAGTGTGCAAGGGAATATGGTGGGGAGAATTGGAGCACAGTACCCTCCAGGCTTTGAGGTGGGGGCAAGGACTACACTCGATAAAGACCAGCCCACTCGGGGACATAATCCTAGTGTCTGATTATCTGTACAATTATGGATGCATTAAAGTAACCTGCTAGTGTCCTTAGCTTACTGCAAAGAGCAAATGTAATTCCTCTGTAGAGAATGTTAACATTTCCAGGGCCTCAAATTACTCTCAGTTTTTCATATATAATGCCTAGTACTCAATTTAAAAATACATGTAAATAAATACATGATGAGATATGATGAAGAAATTATTGAAAAAAATGAGGATGATGTGGTTTGGCACTCTGTCCCTGCCCAAATCTCATCTTTAATTGTAATCTCCACGTGTTGAAGGAGGGACTTGGTGGGAGGTAATTGGATCATGGGGGTGGTTTCCTCCATGCTATTCCGTGATGGTGAGGGAGTTGTCATGAGATCTGATGGTTTTAAAAGTGGCAGATTTGTCCAGTGCAATGGATCACACCTGTAATCCCAGCACTTAGGGAGGCTGAGGTGGGTGGATCACTTCAGATCAGGAGTTCAAAACCCGCTGGCCAACATGGCAAAACCCCATCACTACTAAAAATACAAAAAAAATAGCGGGTATAGTGGCACACGTCTGTAATCTCAGCTACTCAGGAGGTTGAGACAGGGGAATCACTTGAACCTGGGAGGTGGAGGTTGCAGTGAGCCGAGATCACACCACTGCACTCCAGTCTGGGCTACACAGCAAGACTCTGTCTTAAAAAAAAAAAAAAAAGTGGCAGTTTTTCCTGCTCTCTCTCCTGCTGCCATGTAAGATGTGCATTGCTTCTCCTTTACCTTTTGTCATGATTGTATGTTTCCTGAGGCCTCCCCAGCCATGCAGAACTGTGAATCAAGTAAATCATTTTTATTTATAAATTACCCAGTCTCAGGTAGTATCTTTATAGTAATTTGAAAACTGACTAATACAACAGACATATAAGAGAAAAATCAACAAAAAAAAAGTTTTGCCTGGAAAAAAATAATGAACCTCTTTATAATTGCATAATTATAGTACAGGTGTTCCTCAACTTATGATAGAGTTACATCCTGATAAACCCAATATAATTGAAAATATCATAAGTAGAAAATGCTTTTAGTATACCCAACCCGCCAAACATCATCGCTTAGCCTAACCTACCTTAAACATGCTCAGTGCACTAACATTAGCCTAAAATTGGGCAAAATTATCTAACAGAAAGCCTACTTTATCAGAAAGTGTTGAATCTCTCATGTAGTGTATTGAATATGGTACATTATTTTGAAATTGTGATTGTTTTGCAGTATTGTAAAGTCAAAAAATTGTAAGTCAAACCATCATTAAGTCAAGGACTCTCCGTATATTTAAACTCTTTTATACAGACACACACACACACACACACACACACACATACATACACACGGAGAAAGAGGGGAAGAGAGTGACAGAAAGATAAACAGTGAGACAGAAAGAAAGACCAGAAATTACCAGTGTGAGAAATTAACAAAGGAGAGGACATCACTACAGTTTCTGTAGACATCAAAACAAGTATAAAAGATTTATAGTGGCCCCAGCTAGTGGGATAAGGCAATTAAAAGAAGTTAAATTTGTAAATATTGAAAAGGAAAGTAAATGCTTTTTTGGAGATGGCATGGCTATGTACAAATGTCAAAAATTATCTACAAACAATTAGAAATAAAAGCCAGTTTGGTAAGGTGACTGGATTTATAACAAATGCACAAAAAGCAAAAATCAATTGTATACCTATTACAATTTTGTTTGATAAAGTAGAAATAATTCATCACAAACAAGGACAGAAAAGAAAGGGAATAAACACGTCCTTAAATTTTGTACCCTAGGTGCCTCTCTTGCTTCACCCAAGGCTCAGTCCTGATGAAAATGGCTCATTATTTGTTAGAGAAATTTAAATTAAAACTGTAATGACATACCATTCTACACATACTAGTTTGTCTAACATTAAAAGACTAACAATAACGATTACAAATGAAGATACAGAACAAGGGAAATTCTCATAGACTGTTGGAGAAAAAGTAAATGGATGCAGCTACCCACTTACATATTTATACCACCAGATACAAGCAAGGATGTACATAGCAGCATTATTTGTTTAAAAAAAGATGAATTTTTAAAATTGCATATTGAATATTATTCAGCAATGAAAATGAACAAATTAGAACTACATGTAACAACATAGGTCAAACTCACAATACATAATGTTAAGCAGTAAAATAAAATAAATGGGTGTGTATTTGTTTCCTGGGGCTGTTGTAACAACTTATCACAAACTTAGTGATTTTAAACAAGATAAATTTATTCTCTCTCAGTTAGAGAGACCAGAAGTACAACATTTGTTTCACTGACCTAAAGTCAAGATGGCAGAAGGGCTATATTCTCAATGGAGACTCCAAAAGATAATCCATTCATGGCCTCTTCCATCCTGTGGGCCTTCCTCTATTTTCAAAGCCAGCATCACAGCATCTTCAAACTTCTCCGTTTCTATTGTTCCATTGCCTTCTGCTCCCTCTGTCTCCTTTTTACAAGGACATTTGTGATGGCATTTAGGGCTCACTCAGATAACCCAGGATGATCTCCTCTCAAATTTCTTTTTTCTTTCTTCTTCTTTTTTTTTTTTTTTTTTTTGAGACAGAGTCTTGCTCTGCCACCCAGGCTAGAGTGCAATGGTGCGATCTTGGCTTACTGCAACCTCTGCCTCCTGTGTTCAAGTGATTCTCCCTGCCTCAGGCTCTCGAGTAGCTGGGATTACAGGTGCCGCCACCACCACACCCAGCTAACTTTTGTATTTTTGGTAGATACGGGCTTTTCACCATGTTGACCAAGCTGGTCTCGAACTCCTGACCTCAGGTGAATCCACCTGCCTCGGCCTTTCAAAGTGCTGGGATTACAGAATGAGCCACTGTGCCCAGCCTCAAATATCTTAAATACATCTGCAAATGCCCTACTTCAAATAAAGTCAGGCTCCATGGATTAACACTTGGACATGCCTTTCAGAGGCATTATTGGCCTACCACAGAATGGGTATATAAATATCAAAACATTAAGAAAAGTAAACTCCAAATAGTGGGTATCTTTGAAGACAAATCAAGGAGTAGTAATCTATTTCGCAAAAAAAAAGTTATTCTGAGTAGTAGTTGTGAAGGTGTTTGTTTTGTGATAATTCCCTAAGGTGTATACATTTTCTTAGGATTTGACATTACATATATATGTTTATGCATAAATTATTCATAGATATACATGTAATTAAAATTTAAGAAATAAATTATAATGATGCAATCTTCTAATGTTTTTTAAATTTTTTTAAAAAAATGTGACCTTTTAGGAAATAATGCAGTCACGTAGATAAATTTAATACTTCCAATTAAAAAAAGTAGATATAGTATTCTTTTATTATAAAATTATTTTTTATCTATTCTGCTAGCTCTCTATCTCACTATACATATAGTTATGTATCTTCCATCTATATCTAAACTTTTTGGAGTATGAAATTTGAAACACATATAACTATTTTACAGCTATTATAATAATTGTATGTGCTTATTCCTTTTAAACTTGAAAAATACCAAAAAGTGCAAAGAAGAAACAAACAAACAAAAATCACCCAAATGAATACCACCAACAGTTAACATTGGTTGTTTCTGAAAATTTGGGGTGATTTATTTTGTTTTCTTTGTACTCTTTGGCATGAAGTATTTTTATAAAATAAGCAAAGTCATTACTATAAAAATCCCTGAAATGAAACCTATGTAGAAATTGTAATAATGAAGATAACAAAGAGAGGAATCACTGCTTACATAGCCATTTATTTAGTGCTTCCCATCTACTATGCATTATTCAGTGTGTATTACATTTCGTTTTTCATCATCACAATAATTTTGCAAGATATATACATACATATAAAACATAATATTGTGTCTGTATTTATTATAGATGATAAAACAGAGTTGTTTTGTGAGTTTAAGTGACAGCCAGCAAACAATATTGCTGCGTTATGGTACCCAAGAGTTCTGGCTTCAGTGTGAAAAAAAATATTCAATGTTTTCCACCGCCGCTCAGGATGATACTAATTCAATTATGACTGAATCAGATGGATGTATTGACAATTCAGAAGTGCAGATTATTTAATGAAACCATGTACGTGTGCATGTTTGTTTTCTCCTCAAATCTTGCTCCCCTTCCTCATTCTTTCAACCAACACCTAACACCTCCCTCAAAACACACAATACACACAAACACAACTAATGCCTTGAGAGCTGAGGCCATAGCTGACACATATTTCAACACCAGAGTCTAGCACAGAATCTAGCACTAAAAGTCTCCCCCAGAGTGTTTACTATAAATAAACTAGTGATGAGACTTTAGCTTAAATCCATGACCATCAACTCTGCTGCCACTCTTCCAAGCAAGAGTTAGGTCCGTCATTGAAGCTATGTAGTTGTGATTTATGCAGAAACTTTGTAAAGAAAACCAGAGCTTGGGTAGTGGGTAGCAGTAATCTCTTCTTAATTTCCCCTATGAAGAGATAAACTCATTGCAGTCTATAGCTACCAAACACAGAGGTCACAAGACTTCTGTGACAAGAACTCCCACTGCTATGGTCTCCACAAATAATGCTAATGGAAACAGAGAGGAAAAACAATTATCAAACAATCAAATAAAGGTCTGACTGCATGCTCTTTTTCAAGATTTTGCATCTGAGGATATCAGAAAGGAAAGCAATTCAGAGGTGCAAATTGCCTAATGTGCAAATCAATAACATGCTGGTCTAATGCTCAATTTTATGAGATTGCTGTTATATAAATGTAGGGAAAAGCAAATAATCAGGAGCCAAAATTGTCTCTTATCAGAGGAAGTTCATAATTAGTTTGCGTTTTCACAGAATTCCAAATAGTACTGATTAATTAAGCCAATATGTATTCCAAGCAGGAACAGCTACGAATAGTCAGCCTGTGTGGGGAGAAGCACAAATACAATGAACTCAAATTTAATAGGCCTAATTGTACCAAAGTAAGTAACAGTCAATGACTGAGCATGCAGCCCTTTCCCTAGACAATCTCTAAAATAGATTTTAACTGAATTTTGTGAACAGTATGTAGAGAAAATCTAAGGAAAAAAACACAGTGAAGGCAAGAATTCCCAAAAGGCAAATCAGAAAACATTAAAATAATACTATGAAAGTTTGGTTTTCACAATTAAGGTATTTTTCAAGTTCAATTCAGTTTCTCATTGTTGTATTTTTCTTTTAATTTTTCAATTTCTAGACATATTTATGCAATTATTTGTAAATCTGTCTAAATTCTAGAAAAATTTTTGCCCATTTGAATGCCATAGAAACAGAAATATAAAAACAATTTTAAGGTATAAATATTCTTGAGGATTTATAACAAAATATTGTTATCCCTTATTCAACTAAAAATATTCCCTTATATCTGTGCCCAATTAAAATAAAATTGAATAAAATGAATATTTTAAGATACCGGTTTTCAGCATTTTCTTACTTTTTTTGTAAATCGTACAAAACTAAGTAACCAGTTCTCCTTTGCATAAAGAACTGCTCACCACTCTTCAAGAACAGCTGTTTAATTAGGATAAAGAAGGAAATAATACAGATACACCTTTCTCTCCTCCAGAACAAAGCAAAGAGAAAGAGATCAAATTGACAGAGAGTGGGAAGAGAGATGATTTGTTCTTGAAGACAGACATGAAAGGTCAAGATACGAATTTTAGATAGACAGTGTAAGAACTTGACAAGTGAAAAGATAATCAACTTTGTGATCGAGGTCAGGAGATCGCGACCATCCTGGCTAACACGATGAAACCCCGTCTCTACTGAAAAATAGAAAAAATTAGCCCGGCGTGGTGGCAGGCGCCTGTAGTCCCAGCTACTCAGGAGGCTGAGGCAGGAGAATGGCGTGAAGCCGGGAGGCAGAGCTTGCAGTGACGATCGTGCCACTGCATTCCAGCCTGGGTGACAGAGCAAGACTTCCTCTAAAAAAAAAAAAAAAAAGAAAAAGAAAAAGAAAAACCTAGAAGAAAACCTAGGCAATATCATTCAGGACATAGGCATGGGCAAGGACTTCATGTCGAAAACACTAAAAGCAATGGCAACAAAAGACAAAATTGACAAATGGGATCTAATTAAACTAAAGAGCTTCTGCACAGCAAAAGAAACTACCATCAGAGTGAATAGGCAACCTACAAAATGGGAGAAAATTTTTGCAACCTACTCATCTGACAAAGGGCTAATATCCAGAATCTACAATGAACTCAAACAAATTTACAAGAAAAAAACAAACAACCCCATCAAAAAGTGGGCAAAGGACATGAACAGACACTTCTCAAAAGAAGACATTTATGCAGCCAAAAAACACATGAAAAAATGCTCATCATCACTGGCCATCAGAGAAATGCAAATCAAAACCACAATGAGATACCATCTCACACCAGTTAGAATGGCAATCATTAAAAAGTCAGGAAACAACAGGTGCTGTAGAGGATGTGGAGAAATAGGAACACTTTTACACTGTTGGTGGGACTGTAAACTAGTTCAACCATTGTGGAAGTCAGTGTGGCGATTCCTCAGGGATCTAGAACTAGAAATACCATTTGACCCAGACATCCCATTACTGGGTATATACCCGAAGGACTATAAATCATGCTGCTATAAAGACACATGCACACATATGTTTATTGCGGCACTATTCACAATAGCAAAGACTTGGAACCAACCCAAATGTCCAACAATGATAGACCGGATTAAGAAAATGTGGCACATATACACCATGGAATACTATGCAGCCATAAAAAATGTTGAGTTCATGTCCTTTGTACGGACATGGATGAAATTGGAAATCATCATTCTCAGTAAACTATTGCAAGAACAAAAAACCAAACACTGCATATTCTCACTCATAGGTGGGAATTGAACAATGAGATCACATGGACACAGGAAGGGGAACATCACACTCTGGGGACTGTTGTGGGGTGGGGGGAGGGGGGAGGGATAGCATTGGGAGATATACCTAATGCTAGATGACGAGTTAGTGGGTGCAGCGCACCAGCGTGGCACATGTATACATATGTAACTAACCTGCACAATGTGCACATGTACCCTAAAACTTAAAGTATAATAATAATAAAAAAAGAAAAAGAAAAAAAACTTTGTGATCTGTTATATACTTGCAATGTCAGAAAAAATAAGATATTATGCTTCAATTTCAAATCATCGACTATAGTACTGTAGTTGATGCAAGGGATGTAGATTTTAGGAAAAACAAAGAGACCATGAGCCAGACTTGAGTGTCCTTCCTCCAGGTGTTTTTTTGTCATCTTAATCAAACTAAGGCTCCTGTATATTTGGGATTCATTGCTAGAAGTTTAATCTGTCCCATTGTTGCCTTTCACCTGCTTTTTTGTTGCCTGAGAAGTAGATTGATTTATTGATTTTGATTTTTAAGTTCAAGAAGGATATTTTAGTGCCAGGCAAAGGTACCTAATTTATAAGGTGCTGAAAATGTGTGAAGATGCCACCTTTCCACTGAGTTTCTAAAAAACTTAATTGGCCTACTAAAATAATAGGCTTGATTTTGAGGCCTGACTGCCAGGTTACAAAGTGCTGGCTGGCTCAGATCTGTCCCTTTCAAGCTTAATGAACAGTCTTTGTTCAACTTCCAAACATTCCATATGGTTAGTGCTTGATGGAACACAATATTTTCACAAAGAAAGAGAAGTTCAATACATTTACTCATAACTGCTAACTGAATAGCCTGTATAGAGTCAAAATTTAGCCTATGTGTCTCTAATTTTTCTAATTAGTTATATATATAGATTATATATATATATATATATATATATGGAGAAGTTCTATGTTCCTATATATATATATATATATTTTTTTTTTTTTGGAGAATTTCTATGTTCACTAGCTACTCTACTCTGGGGAACTTATATAAAATGGGCTGCTAGAACATGCATGATTGATTTGGTTTTGTCGCTGATACCCACAACATCTTGATTTCCCTTGACTTTCTACTCAGCAAGCTAGTAAACAAATTTATTAGTGGCAATATCATAGCACTTTTCTCTGATGAGCTCAAAGTATTTTCCAAGCATCTCCTCATTAATCCTTACAATATTTCTATGAAGTTAAGTAGCAGAGATATATCTATTTTAAGGTAGAGATCAAATTGTTTTATGGATAGGTGAGTTGTCCAGAATTGTATAGATTATTACTGGGGAAGAGGGAAGAAAATTAGGTTTCCCATATCTCAGATAACCATATAATTTATTCTGCAAACCAGGAAACTTGTGAAACTGATAGGGACATTATTAATAATAATGCCAAGAGAACACTGACAAACTGAGAATACAATCATGCCACCTGTATCCTACTGAATGGAATAGTAAGAAAATCACAATACCCAGTTGAAAGTTGTAAGCCAGAGGATTTGTTTCATTATTTTGAGTTGCTGTAAAATAAAATTCTACTATGAATAGTTTGTTGCATTTACTTCCATTATTTTTATATGTAATTTTTCAAACATACTTGGAATTATAACTTACATGTAATTTTGTATTCAGGATTTTTAATTTGACACTTCAAATTGTTTTGCTAATATACAAGAATGCTTTATAAACATGTACAAATTACCACATTATGTTAACATATATGGATTTACCATAATCAACATAACCATAGTTATTATTTACAATTATTTAGATTTATGAATAGTGCTCCAATGAGATTTTTAGCATACATTTTTCATATAGCTTTAACAATCTCCTTAGGATATATATATATTTTTGATTGCCTCCAGTTATATTTTTAATCTTTATTTACAATTTATTCTAATTTTTAGGCTTTAAGTTTACCTTTTGGGGGCATTTATTCTTTAATCTTGTTAGAACTTGTTTTGGTGACTGGTAGACGGGAACAATCATGAATGGTGTCATTATTTGTCTTAGTCTGCTTGAACTGCCATCACAAAATACCACAGACTGAGTGGTTTAAACAGAAATGTATTTTCTTACACATCTAGAGGCTGGAAATTCCAAGATCAGGATCTGTGAATGTTTGCTATCTGGTGAGCATTCTCTTGCAGACAGTCCAGTTCTCTTACTCTGTCCTCACATTGCAGGGAAAGAGAGCAAGCTCTCTGGTGTCTATGTTATAAGGGAACTAATTCCATCATGAGAACCCTGCCCTCATGACATCATCTAAACCTTGTTACTTCCCAAAGGCCCTGTACCCAAACACCATCACATAAATTCTGAATTTTGGATTAAATTACATCTATCTCATTATAATACTATTCTATTAATATTATTTAATTGGTAATATATGTTGAAGTTTCTGGAGATTATTGTTTTTCTATTAACATGATAAATTATAGTAAACTATTTCCTAATAGGCATCCATTCTTGCTTACTAACATGAACACTACTTGATTATGAAGTATGGTTTTAATGGGATTGCAACTTTTAAGTGTAAAGTACAGCTTTAGAATATTTGCAGTAATATTTATTAGTGGAATAGGCCTGTATTTTATTGTGTGTAGTGTATATGAGAGAGACGAAGGGAAAGGGATGGGAAGAGAACACATGTGTTCAGCTTTGGTCAAGTTTAGTATAAATACAATACTTATTAGTGTAAATACAATATTTATTCATAAATATATTTGGAAGTATTTTTATTTTCTGTACATGGAAACATTTAAAGTTATGGATTTCTCCTCTCCCTCTCACTGTCACTCTCGCTCTGTTTGTGTGTGCACGCACATGTGTGTGCATGCATCATTTAGCCCTGCTGACTGATACGCCTGGTTATTTATGATCAAAAGCCAGACATTGACCTAAGAGAAAAAGTCTTTAGATGGGATCTCCCTCCAAAGAAATTGTAGTTTTCTTCTCACTTAGAGGTAGATTCTCTTGGTCCAATCAGGCTGAAATGCCTTGAGGCTAGATTTCAGTCTTTGTGGCAGCTGCTGCATTTCTAGTTTGCCTTTTCAGCTAGGGATTAGCTTTTTAGGGGTCTCAATGCCTAGGGAGATTTCTAGGTCCTCTGTTCCTTGTTGAACTCCAATTTTGTCTATCCTTTTGCTGAGAGGTCTGCTTAACTTCCTTTTAGTCAGGTAGCTCCATTTTATGCTAAGCTTCTTAGTTGCTCACCTTCTGCAACTAAAGAATCAGAAAATGTTGTGAAGGAAAAACAAAACGAAATTGTTTTGTTTCTACTGGCCCTTTATCAAGCCCTGGCCACCATGATAGTCATGAATTCCATTTTGTGTCTATGCAGGCCTATCAGATTTCTAACATCTCTGAGCTACCATTTTCTTCTTAGCTATCTGCTCAGCAAATGTATCCAAATGAAAGGTTGTGGAGAATGTTGAAACCAATTCAATGTGTTTCACCTCTTTCTGGGAGCTTACACACTCAAGTTCTGGATGCTTTGATTGCTATCAGAAGCCCTTAAATAGCTACTTATTTTTAATTAATTTTATCCAGCTTTCATAATTGTTCTTGCCAGGTGGGATGGCCTGATATAAATTAACTTGTCATAGCTAGAATTAGAAGAGGAAAACTTTAAAGAGGATTGAGTTATCAGTACTTCCATGTCTTGATACATTTCTTCTTGAAAATGTTCATGCCTGCTGATTTGTCTGTTTTTTTTTTTTTCTGACAAACTCATCTTTTATTTTTGATGGGTGTGTGTGTGTTTTTTTTTAACAGGGATTTGGGGAATTATTTGAGAAAGCAAAACAAAACAATAAAAATAGAAAAACTTTTAATGGTGATGACAGCCTCTTCTTCAGTAATTTCTCACTTCTTGGTGCTCCTGTCCTGAAAGATATTAATTTCAAGATAGAAAGAGGACAGTTGTTGGCTGTTGCTGGATCCACTGGAGCAGGCAATGTAGTCACTTTTATTCTTCACTATTAAGAACTTAATTTGGTATCCATGTCTCTTTTTTCTTCTAGTTTGTAGTGCTGGAAGGTATTTTTGGAGAAATTCTTACATGAGCATTAGGAGAATGTATGGGTGTAGTGTCTTGTATAATAGAAATTATTTCACTGATAACTTACTCTAGTTTTTTATTTCCTCATATTATTTTCAGTGGCTTTTTCCTCCACATCTTTATATTTTGCACCACATTCAACACTGTATCTTGCACATGGTGAGCATTCAATAACTTTATTGAATAAACAAATCATCCATTTTACCCAGTCTTAACCAGAACAGACATTTTTTCAGAGCTGGTCCAGGAAAATCATGACTTAAATTTTGCCTTAGTAACCACATAAGCAAAAGGTGCCCATTTTTTTCTTTAAAAGTTTTTATTCATTATTTATTTATTATTATTATACTTTAAGTTTTAGGGTACATGTGTACAATGTGCAGGTTAGTTACATATGTATACATGTGCCATGCCTGTGCGCTTTCCGTTGTGGGGTCGGGGGAGGAGGGAGGGATAGCATAGGGAGATATACCTAATGCTAGTTGACGAGTTGGTGTCTGTTTGTTGAGAGGAGAATGTTCAGAATTTTATATCTTCAACATGTTTTTCTGCGTTAATAAGATACTGAGATTTTATAACTCTTGTCATTTTGGTCACTTATATTTTCATATGGAAAAAATCATATAATCCAGGGTTTCCAATATATTTCTGTAAAATTAAGAAAATGATCTTATCTAATTACTTGATCAATATCTGTGATTATATTTTCATTGCCTTCCAATTTGAATATTTGTTCTCTATTCCTTCTTAATCTGGATTGAGGTTCTGATTAATTATTTTAATGTTGCAAATTGTTTTCACTTTTTCCATAAAATGAGTTCTTGAGTTTATTTCTTTACTGCATCATTCTATTTTCAAGTCATGAACTTCTGACTCAATTAAAAAAACCCTCACCGTTTCTATGAAATTGTTGTGTTCATATTTTATTTTTTATTTACTGTATAGTTCAGTATAGAATATATAATATTATAAAATATGTAATAATAGGATAAAAAATAAGATACAAAAAGTAAGGGGTGTGAGTTTGGAAAATTATACTTGCTGATATGGTGAAATAACTCTGACCAAATTAACCTTTCAGCAATAAAAACAAAATTGGAAAACTGGATAAAATATACATGGTAACATGTTAGGTCAGCTTTGTCTGTCTTCAAACAACTATAAATATTGTTCTACCCTTGTTACTTATTTATTCTTTTCCATTTTGTTTTGCTCAATTTTTTTCTTATACCCATTTATTTGAGTAAATTTTGAAAATATCTATTCTTCATTTTTGCTGTTTCTAGTGTGGTATATATTTCTCAGATAAAAGGTATTTTCCCTTTTATCTTTCCCTAAACTCACACTACATATATTGCATTTATCTTATATCTGCTTTAAAACCTATTTTTGTCTTTTTAGGTCACTTACATCAGAGGAGTTGTATTGGTGCGGGAAGGGGAATTTGATTTAATGAAACAATGCATTAAAAATTTGTACTCACTTTGTGATTCAATGATAGTCAATGTGGCATGTAATTTTTTTCTGTCTTTTAATATTATATTGTCTTTGTTGCTTTTCTCTAACATGAAATATATGTTACACAGGCACAGTGCTGGTATCTTTTCTATTATTATCTTCGAATAGGACTCATTATTGTCTGAGCTGTTTATTAAAATGGTAAAGGAAAAGATCAGTAAAGTAAATTATGCCAATAGGCAGTATCAATGTAGGTCTATTTTCCGTGAATATTTTCTCAGCAACTGTGTTGTTATGATGATATTGGTTTCATCCACAGTTCCTAGCTTATAACTCCCCTAGCACTTGTTACAGTCTTTTGTTATAATATTGGGTGTGTTAGGCCTCAGGAGCAGGACTCTCACCTTCTCATGGCCTTTTTTCATTTTTATGTTCCTGCCTTTCTGGTTGTGGGTCTTAAGACCATCTCAGGAGAGAGTCCCACCCTATACCCTGGAGGGAGGGATGCTGATATCATGAAACTTCCATGAAAATCCAGGAAGACAGGGTTCAGTGAGCTTCTGGGCAGTTGAACACATGGATGTTCCTGGAGGGTGGCCCACCCAGGGATGACATGGAAGCTCTGCTCCCTTCCCCCATGCATTGCTCTAAGTGTCTCTTCCTCTATATCCTTTGCAATATCCTTTATAATACACCAGGAAATGTAAGTGTTTTCCTGAGTTCTGTGAGCCACTCCAACAAATTAATCAAATCCAAAGAGGGGGTCATGAGAACCCAACTTGAAGCCAGTAGGTCAGAAGTTCAGAGGCCTGGACTTGTGGCTGGTAGGGTTGAGGGTGGGCAGTCTGGGGGACTGACCTGTGAGACCTGACACTATCTCCAGGTAGACAGTGTAGTGTCAGAACTGAATTAGAGGACACTCAGCTGGTGTCCGCTCCTTGGTGTATGTATGGAGGAAAAAACCCACACATTTGGTCACAGAAGTCTTCTCTGTTGCTGATTGATCTTTGTGGTGTGAGACTAGAGGAAAAACAGAGAGAGTTTTCTCTACACAGCAACTATATAATTTGTGGGAATATCTCTTTTTACACGTAGTCCTACATCTGTCTAGCTACAGTCATTTATCTGGCCTTGGGAAATGTGACCGCAGAATCAGATATACACATGAGATTAAATAATACATGGGTATGTCATTTAAATATCTAGAAAAGTTATGACTTCACCAGGTATAAAGAATATAAAAAGAACTCTGTCAAGAATCATACAGTAAATAGATTTTTGAATTTAATCTAGTACCTAAACAATCAGAGTAGGGAGGTTAGATATTAAAATCAGGCTAAAGATATAGGCAACGTGGATCTAGAAAACATGGATTGCATGGCCATTTCACTTAGAGTTCATGGGCTTGGAATCTCTATTAACATAATTTTTACAACGTTAGAATTTGTTCCCATATTAATGAGGGAAAAAGAAACAATTACCCTGAGTATCTGAAGCTCCAGATCTCATTTTCCAGTCAAAATCTCTGATAGGTAAACAACCTGAAAAAGTAGCCACAACTCACTGAGGTGATAACCCCATTTGCTTAAGATAATATAATTGTTTTTATGATTTTTTTTATCCCAGGAAAACATTGAAAAAAGAGTTTAGAGATGATGAAGTATATGAAAACTATAATATTTATACTTTAGAGAGGTGGTATTTATTTATAATTGTATTAGTATTTAAATATAGATTAGCATTTTACATTCCAATTTTAAATGTGTAACAGAGTATTTTAGATATTGGTTTTTTTTTTTTTTAGTTGAAATTATAAGCGGCTTTACCGAGTTGCCAGTAGTGGTTTAACATTGAAGATAATTTAAGATTCATGATTTTGTGAGTTGAATTTATTAGCTCTATAAGGGTTGTTTAAGTTCTCTGAAGGCTTTATTTGTTAGTCCGATAATTAAAATGTTCACAAAGATAATTGAACATATTAAATTTATAAATGTGGATTAAAATCTTTAAGGGAGTTTAATTAACTAAGTTGTAAATGGACCAAACATTAATCAAAGTCCCCCTTAAAAATAATTTTTAATGTACTAGATTTATAAATAGAACAATAAGATTTCTAATTTAAACTCAAAAATTGTTTAAATTGGTTTACAATTTAACATAATATACTGCACATTAATTCAGAATATGAAATCTTATAAGTAGTCCTTTTTACATTCAAGAATCACATTGATAAACATCACAAAATGCCCACTGGCAACCACTATGAAACTCTTTAAGCGATAGGTCCTGTATGAATTTTACTCCTCATGATTTGAAGATTATGCATAAATTCCTTCTTCTTGTTATTTTGTTTCCAATTTAGTCTTTACATAGACAAAACTCCTATAACAGAAAAACTGAAAACAAAGAGGGTGCATTCCTTCGCTTGCTTTCTGAGGATGCCCTACTCTAAAAGGCAGTAGCTTTCAATAAACTATGTCTTCTTCTCATTGTACTCGGTGACTCATCTTGAATTCTTTCCTGTGTGAGGCCCAAGAACCCTCTCTTGAAGTGTGGATCAGGACCCCTTTTTCCAATAACACTAGTACTGTTATAATTAGGTAAATGTTACTCACACCTGAAACATGGAGCATACATTATTGAATTTCATTTCTACACAACATTTTTTCCCTTAAACTGACAATTTTTTAAAATTTTTGTTTTGTTTGTTTTTCTGTGTATGTATCAAAGTACCAACTCCAAATTCTACCGTAGTTTTCTAATGAGTCTCATAATGCATTCAGAAGCATTAGACATTTTATCAGATTTATCTTTTTGAAGTTTTTTTTTCTAGATAGCTCGAATTTACACAGGTTGCTGTGTACACATACTGTACATCTAACAACAAGGAGATTCCCTGTACTTTATACCCTACCCTTTCTTCGTTTACTTCCTCATTTTAGTGAAACTCTTCTCCAGTAAATTCCTGAGATAGGATGTATTGGATGTAGAGTTTTAGAATCTTGCCATGCTGTAAATGCTTATTATTGTTTCCTCCTTTCTGATTTACAGTTTGGTTGGAGATACTATTCTGCATTAGAAATAATTTGTTTTATGGCTGCATAGTATTCATGTCCTTTGTAGGGACATGGATGAAATTGGAAATCATCATTCTCAGTAAACTGTCGCAAGAACAAAAAACCAAACACCGCATATTCTCACTCATAGGTGGGAATTGAACAATGAGAACACATGGACACAGGAAGGGGAACATCACACTCCGGGGACTGTTGTGGGTTGGGGGGAGGGGGAAGGGATAGCATTGGGAGATATACCTAACGCTAGATGATGAGTTAGTGGGTGCAGCGCACCAGCATGGCACATGTATACATATGTAACTAACCTACACATTGTGCACATGTACCCTAAAACTTAATGTATAATAATAATAAAATTAAAAAAAATTTCACACAAAAAAAGAAATAATTTGTTTTGCAATTTGTAAGGCTTTGCTTGTCTTCTAGTGGCCACTTTTATTTCTCTTCTCTGGAAATTTGAAGTGTCTTCTTTTTTTTTTTCCTGGGGTGTGCTGATTTGTGTCTGTGTGTGTGTGTGTGTGTGTCTGTGTGTGTGTGTTGGTCTAGGTCTATTTTCACCATTGGCTTGAATTCTGGTGGACACATTCAATCTGAAATTCATACACTTACCTCTTACTCATTTCAAAAATTATTTATATATATCATTGTATTTTTTTCTTTTCCCAAATGCCTGTATTTGGTTGGTGGCCCTATAGGACCAATTATTTAATTCATTAAACTTTCTCTTTCTCATTCCCAACTCTGTTTACACTAACTTTTCTGGAGATGCAGTCAGCTTTACCTTCCAAATCTCCCATTAAGTTATATATTTCTGCAATAAATTTCTTAATTTGTCAGAATCCTATTTTTTTGAATATCCATTTTATATCACATCTTGCTCTTGTTGTATTATCTTATCTTCCCTCTCTGAGGAAATTAATAATTACATTTTTCCCACACTGTATAGATTCTGTTTACTTTCAGTTGTTTTGTTTATTTTTTGTTTCTGTGTTTGTTATTGTCTGTACCTAGAATCTCGTGATTGTTGGTTATCTGTTTGTGTTCAAGAACAATACAATAAACGTTTACGGTAAGCTTCAGGTTCTTAGGTAATAATTGTCAACTGTGGCTTCCAGACAGGGCAATCAGGTCGAGAAGTTTTCCCAGAAAAGCCCCTCATGACATATCCACTGGTCTATTCCTTTGGGCTGATCATGATCTTCCAACTAGAGTCTTCCAGTCTTCTCTGAGCGTAATGTTTTGAATCTAGATAGAGGCGAAAATTGGGGAGATCTAGCTTTCAGTAGTTACTGTTCATTTTGCTCCCCTAATTCATGTATGACCAATGAAGATGATATTGCCAGTACGAAGATTCCCTGTTACCTCTCTAGACAGCAAATGTCTACTTTTCCACCAGCAGAACCTGGAGACATTCACGAGGCTTGATGGAGTGGGCATTGGAAACAGTCTTTCAACCAATCTTCCTGGGTTTTAGCCCTACTTTTACTTCTACTTTCAGAGGTATCCCGTGCAACCAATTTATGAACATTTTGTGGAATCAGATTTCCCCACTACTTACAATTTTGCACTTTTTGGTAAGCTAACTCAGTTACCAGACATTTATGGACTTCCTATTTTCAAAAGTGTTGCTTTTCTCTTTTTATATCACTTGAATAAGCCATTTGCCATCATGTTATAGTTTCAGGTGGGAAAATAAGTCTCTCTACGTGTTTAACATGCCATATTTGCTCAGGTGTCTGCATCTACTCTCACCATTTTCTGAAGAAAGGCTAAATTGTTATGACACTAACAACTAGTCTTCATAGTTTGGTTTATAATTTTTAATGGTGTTTATTTTTAACAAAATTGGTGGAGTTTTTTTCTTTGTATTTTGATTTTTCTTTTGGTTTTCAGTTGTTTTAAGAAATAAATGGAGGGAGATATATGCTTCCTTTGTTCCCATTAACCAAAAGAATAGTTTGAACAACACAGGAATTAACATTTCCATTAAGTTTAAGAGGACCTGCTTGAGACACAGCTGGGCCTTGAGCTTTTAAAGGTGCTATAACTTTATACCAGTTTCATTTTTTTCTATTGTTGGTATCTTCAAATGTTCTCATTTCTCTAGATTTATTTTTATAGTTAAATTCTCCCTAAAAAATTAACCTCTTCATATATATTTTCAAATATAATGACCAAAAGGTACATATTACATTCTTTTGAAATTTTCTATTATCCAGTTTTCCATTTTTCTTGTTATATTTTAATAGGCTCTCTCTTTTTTGTCATCTAATTTATTTGTCTTTTCAAAGATACAATTTTTTGCATTTATTGAAAAATTCCATTGTTGTTGGGATGGAAGAAGATTAAATCCTTCAAATAATAGGCCAGGCATGGTGGCTCACACCTGTAATCCCAGCACTTTGGGAGGCCGAGGTGGGTGGATCACTTGAGGACAGGAGTTCAAGGCCAGCCTGGCCGATATGGTGAAACCCCTTCTCTACTAAAAACACAAAAATACAAAAATTAGCTGGGCATGGTGGCACGTGCCTGTAGTCTCAGCTACCTGTGAAACTGAGACATGAGAAATCACTCAAACCCGGGAGGTGGAGGTTGTATTGAGCCAAGATTGTGCCACTGCACTCCAGTCTGGGTGAGAGAGAAAGACTGTCTCAAACAAACAAACAAACAAACAAAAACAAAACAAAACAAAAAAGAACTTTAAATAATAGTATATTGTTTTGCAGATTATGAGATCAATAGATATTTATTGTAAAATGCACAAATAGTGCAACATTTCTTAAAGTAGACAGTGAAATATTTCATGTTGCCATGTTTCTCCAAGAGGTACTATTGGTTTGGCTCTGTGTCCCCACCCAAATCTCATCTCGAATTGTAATCCCCACATGTAAAGGAAGGAACCTGGTGGGAGGTGATTGGATCATGCGAGCAGCTTCCACCATGCTATTCTCATGATAATGAGTTAAGTTCTCAAGAGATCTGATGGGTTTATAAGTGTTTGACAGTTCCTCCTTCACATGCTTACTTTCTTCTTTGCCTGCCACCATAGAAGACATGTCTGCTTCTCCTCCTACTATCATGGTAAGTTTCCTGAGGCCTCTCCAGCATGCAGAACTGTGAGTCAATTAAACCTTTTTTCCTTTATAAATTACCCAGTCTCAGGAAAGTCTTTTATGACAGTGTAAAAACGGACTAATACAGCCATGAAAAATGAATATTGGTTAAATGGTAGGAATAAGAAAGAACATTCTTGGCCTAGAGAGTACAAAAGGAAAGCCATGGGGTTGGACCTAAAAAGAATACAAAGGAAGAGGAGAGAAGAGTACTCATTGTGCTCAGGAGCTGAATTGGGAAATTTTTTGCAAAACCAAGAAATACCAAACTTAGTGAACTATTGTGGGACCAGTGAATAAAGAAATATTAAAGCAATGAAAAATAATTTAAGTAAATATGAGAAGAAAAATTAAGAATATCTGTATATTTTTGATCAAAGGATGTAATGTTTAAAGTTATATTATAAATTATTCTATGTATGGAATTAATTATGTATTAAAAAGAATAAAAGTCAGACAAACTATAAACTTCTCTCATTCTTCATTTTGGAACTTAAAGAACTTATGTATCTAAGTTAATCAGATATTTTTATGTTATTTTTACAAAAATAATTTACAAAATTAATTTTACAAAATTAATTTAGTAATATTTTTATTGTCTGTTTTTTATAAAAATAAAGTGTAAGATTTTACTACTTCAGATAACTTTTGCTATAAGTCAATCTATGTCTTCCAAGAAAATCTCTTGGTCAGGGCTCATACTTCTCCACCAGGTTTCAGATTTGATTTCTTTTCAGTGAGCTAAGATTTGTTACTGTGTCCCCTTAAATTGAAATAGACATAATTAATGTGGCTATAGTGAGATTCATCTTCAATATAGTAATTGTGTTCTGAAACATTCATCTTAAAATGAAATATTTTCTCCTCTAACTGGAGTCTTTCATTTACAATTAACTTAAACTTTTAATCTTTACACTGGAAACTCTTCTTTAAAGAAGATATGACTATTTTGTTCTCATAAAAGCTAGACTCTTGCAGAAGACAGAAACTGCAACGGCAGGAAGATTAATGTGGATCCTGGAATCTAGAAAGTTGTCTACAAACTATTTAAAATGGTTACTGTAAGAAAGCTCAAAAAGAGAATAATCATTCAGAATAGGAAGAGATAGAAACCCTTAAACAATTAAAATAACATTACCAGGTGTGTATAGTCAGAGGGAGAGAATTTGCCTATATTGTTCTGGGGAAAAAAATAAAATATTTCTGTATAACATCATAGAACTGTAAATGGAGATGTTAAACTTCTCTGATGGGTAGTTTGAGAAAAATTTTAAAAATTGAAAAGTTTTATTTTTTGAGACGGAGTCTCGCTGTGTCATCCAGGCTGGAGTGTAGTGGCACCACCTCGGCTCACTGCGAGCTCAGCCTCCCGGGTTCATGCCATTCTCCTGCCTCAGCCTCTCGAGTGGTGGGACTACATGTGCCCGCCACCACGTCCGGCTAATTTTTTTTTTTTTTTGTATTTTTATTAGAGACGGGGTTTCACTGTGTTAGCCAGGATGGTCTCAATCTTCTGACCTCGTGATCCGCCTGCCTCGACCTCCCAAAGTGCTGGGAATACAGGCACAAGCCACCGTGCAGGGCCAAGATTATTGTTTTAATGTGTGAAAATTAATATTGAATTCTTGTGTTTATATAATATGGTGTCCTATAATTTCTGTTTGGAATATAAAATCAGCAACTAGTATGTATTTTCAAAGCATTATAAATACAGAGTGCTAAGTTACTTCACTGTGAAATGTAGTCATATAAAGAATATAATAATTATACTGGATTCTTTTTAAATGGGCTGTCTAACATTATATTAAAATGTTTCTCCAGTGATTCATTATATCCAAATGCTCCAGGCAGGGCGTGGTGGCTTACACCTGTAATC
>NC_000020.11:29651610-29697363 GCF_000001405.40 Homo sapiens
ATTTATTATAGCAAGACAATGCTATTCTACAGAAATATAATCTGAGTCACAAATGTGAATCACATATGTAATTTAAAATTTTCTAGTAGCCATACTAAAAAAGGTGAAAAGCAACAGGTGGAATTTATGTTTATAATATATGTTATGTAACCCAACATATCATACATAGTAGTAGTGCAATATGTACTTGTAAAAATTACTAATGAGAAACCCCATTCTCTTATAAAATAAAACAAAAAAATTAGCTGGGTGTGGTAGTGGGCAACTGTAATCTCAGCTAATCAGGAGGCTGAGACAGGAGAATTGCTTGGACTTGGAAGGCAGAGGTTGCAGTTTGCCAAGATCACACCACCCCACTCCAGCCTGGGTGATAGAGCAAGACTCAGTCTCAAGGAAAAAAAAAAAAGCTCGAAAAATGTTTGCTTATTTTGGTAAAATTATTCATTGACTATGCTCAGAAATCAAGCAAACTGTCCATATTTCATTTTTAGAAACTACATATTAAAGATCTAAAACAAAGGATAAAATATATGCAAAAATATTTGTATTTCTGGATAAATTAGTTTCCTGAGTTAACTCCTTGACTGTTGACATTGAATCTATTTTAAATTAAACAAGGTGCTGATAAAACAAAAGACAAAGAAAGAAATTCAAAATAAAATTGAAAGATGAAATCAGAGCTTACCAGAGGTAAAATTTCCTCTGACAGTGTAAAAGAGATCTTCATCCAAAAAGCAGAATTTATATAGTTTCTTTCCAAAAGACCATAAAACCAATCAGTTAATAGTTGATTTTTATGTGAAAAAAGAGAGTGTAAAAGAGAAAATAATGACACCAAAATCCCTTTTAAATTCAAAGAGTCATCAAGTTTCAAAAATGTAATTCAGATAAGAAATTAATGTCAGCCACATTCCTCCACAGTAAAGGTTTGTATCAACTTTTCACCTAATAGTTTTAGCATTCATTAGGAAACTTGTTTCAACCATTATTTTACTAGGTGTTATAACAGGGTGGTACATTCTTTCATTTTTTTCTTCATTTATTAGCTGGAATAATTTCCTTTTTTTTTTTTTCAAACAGGGAATTCTTTAATTGTAACACCATCTTTTAACCTCTGCTCTTTATTCTCTTTTCTTTCCAGTTTAATTGTAGCAATTTTGATTTATTTCCTTAAACAATAAAAAGTCCAAGAAAAAATCTAGTACATATTTCGTGTTCTTGGTCTGACATTTAATTCATTGAACTAAGTACAACACTAAACCTCACAATATGCTTTAGCCCTTGTCATTTTCACTTTGAAATACGTTTATTAAAAACTAAAGAAATGACTTAAATATAGCCTTCTAACTTAGCCCATTCAATCTAGAAGGTTCTTTAAAAAATATGCTATAGAGCAATGACAATACATGTTAAGATTTTAGGGATCTTTTTATTAAAAGTGTTGTATTACTTAATATATTACTATAGTAATAATAACAAATTATTTATTTATTTATTTTCTTTTTTTTGCTTTTTATTTTATTTTATTTATTTATTTATTTATTATTATACTTTAAGTTTTATGGTACATGTGCACATTGTGCAGGTTAGTTACATACGTATACATGTGCCATGCTGGTGTGCTGCACCCACTAACTCGTCATCTAGCATTAGGTATATCTCCCAATGCTATCCCTCCCCCCTCCCCCCACCCCACAACAGTCCACATTTCCTCCCAAATGTGTATTGATTACACCAAAACACAGTTTGGACAGGAAAACAAGATAAGTAGACAAATGCTTGATTTTTATTCCCCTCCCCACTTTTCACAATAATGAAGTAGTGCTTCAACAAACTTTAGTAGTGATTAAAAACTTATTTCCCATAATAAAAATTTTAAATATTTGTAAGTAAATGATAAATAATAATTTATCCAGTATTTCATGAGTACCTATAATCAGTCAGGATCCATTCTCCCACACTGCAGGGAAAGGAGCCCAGTTTAAAATTCCTGTCAGGACACCAGCAAGATGATGAAATAGAAAGCCTCAAAGCCCCTCCACCCTCCTCTCCAAGGAGACACCAGCTCAATAATAATACACAGATAAATCCCCTTTGTGAAAAGTACAGAGGCGAATTTAAAGACTCTGGATTCCCTGGTAGGCTTCAAGCCAGGCACATCAAAACCAGCAGGTAAATTTGTTGCACTCACTCATCCTCCCTCAGCAGTACAACGCAATGGAGAGAAAGCTCCAAACTCCCAGCTCATCTCTAGGGAGAGAAAGGAAAGTCTAGACCATATGTCCAACATTTTGACTTTTTGGGAGGGCACTAGCACCTATCTACCCTGAATCTAAGTGCTAACAGGAAAGGATGCCAGATTGCATGCCTGCTGATAAAGCCACTGTTTGGACTGTCACTCAATCACCAGCATTCCTCCTGTGACTCAGTATAACAAGATTGGGAGAATATTCTACAGTTCCTGATTCCCCCACAGAAGTGAAAGAGAATACTGGAACACTCATTCAGTGTTCAGACTTCAGGGGAGTTGTCAAGTGATTGTTTTCTGTCTTGCCTGAATTTAAGCGCTAACAGGAAAGCTTTCCAGGTTGGGGATATTAAGAACAAATGAGTTGAGGCAGTTTGGGTTAGCATACATTCACTTATCATACTATCCTTCCCTGGATCAATATGCAATGAGTGGGAGAAAACCCTCAACTCCTGGCTTCCCCTTGGAGAAGGAAAAAGCTGGAGTGTGCATCCAGAATTCCAACTTTTCCCAGTCAGCCTGATGGACTGTTTTCTGTCTGACTGAATACTCTTGATGTCTGAGGACTGCTGAGAACAAAAGAGAGCTAGGGGGTTATAGCAACTCCAGATAACCTACAGTACTATAGATAGATAACAAAGAGAGCAAGAGATTACACGCTCCTGAAGAAAGACCTGCAAATTTTTCTAAGAATTTACACACAATTCCAGAGACAATACATTCACGGAAAGATTTGACACACTTCAGAATCTCTAGCTGGGCTGACTGGTGAAAGGATTTCCCAGTGCAAAACCAGTCTGTAAAGACAGGGAGAAGTGGTTATTTTTTTCAAATCCTAGAATCGCAGCACAAAATTAAAATGCACACAAGGAAACAGGGAAAAATGGCCCAATAAAAGGAACAAAATAAGTTTCAAATATCAACCCTTCAAAAATGGAGGTATATAAATTATCTGGCAAAGTGACATATACTGACATATTCTCCAGGATGGATCACATGGTAGGTCATAAAACAAGTCTTAACAAATTTAAGACAAAGGAAATCAAGAACCTGTTTTGACCAAAAGTAGGATGAAGCAAAAATTCAATAGTAGAAGGAAAACTGAAACATTTACAAATATATGGAAATTAAACAACATACAATTGGACAACCAATGAGTCAAAGAAGAAATCAAAAACAATATTAGAAAACAAACTGACAAAAAAAAAAATAAAAAACACAACACAGCAAAACTTAGAAATGCAGCAAAGGCAGGACTAAAGAGGGAAATTTATAGCAATAAATGCCTACCTTAAGAAAGAAGAAGGATCTCAAATAAACAACCTAACTTTACAACTCAAGGAACTAAAAAAGAAGAACTAAGCCCAAACCCAGCAAAATGAAAGAAATAATAAAGATTAATGCAAATAAAGGATATTTTCACACACATATTTTCATTATAACCAGAAAGTAGAACCAATGCAAGTGAATAGATTTAAAAAAAACTGTGGTATTACTATACAATGGAATATGGCAATTAAAAAGAGAAAAGACTCAACCAAATAAAATAAAAAATGAAAAAGTAGACATTGCAATTGATGCCACAGAAATAAGAAAAGATTATAAGAGACTGATGTGAATGATTATGGTAGTAATTGGATAACCTAGAAAAAAAATCAAATTACTGGAAATATACAACCCCCAACACTGAATCAAGAAGAAATAAAAATATGAACAAATCTATAGCTAGTAAGGTGTTTAAATTAGTAATCAAAAATCTTCCAGCCAAGAAAATCTCAGGCGCAGGTGACTTTACTAGAGAATTCTGCCAACATTTAAGGAAGAATTAATGCCAATATTTCTCAAACATTCCTAAAAAATTAAAGAAGAAAGAACAATTCTAAACTCCTTCTGTGAAGCTAGCATAACCCTAATATCAAAGCCAGACAATGGCGCTACAAGAAAAAAAAGTTAAATATTCCTAATGAATGTAGATGCAAAATCCTCAACAAATACCAGCAAATTGAATTCAACAGCACTATAAAGTATCATCCACCATAATTATGATGGATTTATTCCTGGAATGCAAGAAGGGTTCAACATGTGCAAATCAATATAATATGCCACATTAACAAAACAATTAAAATAACATGTTCATCTCTGTAGATGGAGAAAGAGCATTTGACAAAATTCAACATTCTGTCGTTAGAAAAACACTTGAAAAAATAGGAATAGAAGGAAATTATTCCAACAGAATAAAGGCCATTTGTAAAAACCCACAGCTCACATAATATTAATGAAGAAAAACTGAAATCTCTTCTTCTAAGATCAGGATCAGGAACAAGGCAAGGACGACTTTATGAAGCGCAGAAAGTCCTAGCTAAAATAATTAAGCAAGAAAAAGATATAAAAGCCTTCCAAATTGGAAAGGAAGAAGTAAAATTTTCTCTATTCACAGAAAACATCATCTTATATATAAAAAAAACCCTAAAGATTCAACAAAAACCTCTTAGAACTAATAAAATGAATTCTACTGCAAAATATTGCTGAAAGAAATTAAGGAAGACACAAGTAAATGGAAAGCCATCTCATTTTGATGAATAGAAAGAATATTTATAAATTCTAATACTAGCCAAAGCAATTTACAGATTTAATGTAATCCCTATAAAAATTCCAATGCTAATTTTAGAGAAATAGAAAGGACAATTCTAAAATCCATATGGAACCACAATGGACCCTGAATATCCAAAACAATCCTAAGAAAGAAAAACAAAGTTAGAGGCCTCACATTTTCTGACTTTGAAATATACTACAAAGCTACAGCAATCCCAATAGTGTGATATTAACGTAAAATTAATCATGTAGATGAATGGAAGAGAATGGATTAGTGGAACAGAATAGAAAGCCCATTGGGAGGCCAAGGCGGGCGGATGATTTAAGGTCAGGAGTTCAAGACCAGCCTGGCTAACATGGTGAAACCCCGTCTCTATGGAAAAATACAAAAATTAGCTGGGCATGGTTATGGGCACCTGTAATTCCAGCTACTCAGGAGGCTGAGGTAGGAAAATCACTTGAACCCAGGAGGAAGAGGTTGCAGTGAGCCAAGATCACAACACTGCACTCCCATCTGGGTTACAGAGCAAGACTCCGTCTCAAAAAAGAAAGAAAGAAAGCCCAGAAATAAACCCACATGCATATAGTCAAATGATCTTTGACGAGGGTGCCAAAACTATACAATGGAGAAAGGATAATTTCTTCAACAAATATTGTTGGGAAAACTGGATATCCATATGCAAAAGAATGAAAGTGAACCCTTATCTTACACTGTTCACAAATGTTAACTCCCAATGGATTGAAGACTTAAAAGTAAGAACTAAAGCTGTAAAGCTCTTACAAGAAAACATAAAGAAAGGCTTTATCACATTGGTCGTGGCAATAATTCCTTGGATTTGACACCAAAAGCACAGGCAACCAAAGCAAAAATAGGTTAGGGTGATTACATCAAGATAAAATGCTTCTGTGCAGAAAAGGACACAACGGAGTGAACAGGCAGCCTACAGAATTGGAGAAAATATTTGAAAACTGTATATTTGCTAAGGGCTTAATATCCAAAATACATAAGAAACACCTATAACTCAAAAGCAAATAAACACATAACCCAATTTAAAAATGGCTAAATTCTTAAATAGATATTTTTTAGGAAGACATGCAAATGACCAACAGGGATATAAAAAGATACTCAACATCATTAATCATCAGGGAAATGCTAATTAAAATCACAACAGGATTTATCACCTCATAACTGTATGATCATTTTTTAAAAAAGGAAAATAGCAAATGTTGATGAAGATGTGGAGAAATTGAATTAGAACCTTATGTACTGTCAGTAGGAATGTAAAATGGTAGAGCCACTATGGAAAACAGTATGGAGGGTCCTCAAAACATTAAAAAATAGACCTACCATATGATGCAGCAATCCCACTTGTGGACATTTTTCCAAAATAATTGAATAATTCCAAAATAATTGAAAACAAGATCTTGAAGTGATATTTGCATTCCCATATTCATTACAGAATTATTCACAATAGCCAAAAAGTAGAAACAATCTAAAAGTCCATCATCAAATGAACAGATGAAAATATGGTATATATATATATATGTATGATATATATATGTATGATATATATATGTATGATATATATAGTATGGTATATATATGTATAGTGTATCTATATGTGTGTATATATATATATACACACACAATGGAATATTATTCAGCCTTGAAAAGGGAAATTCTGTCGTATTTCAACATGTGTCAATCTTAAGGATATTGTGCTAAGTGAAATAAGCCAGACACAAAGACAGATATATCGTGATTCCATTTATATGAGGTATTGAAAGTAGCCAAACACATGGAAACAGAAGATAAAATGGTAGTTGTCAGGGCCTGGAGGAAACTGGAAATCTGGAGTTGCCGTTCACCAGGTGTGGAGTTTCAGTCAAGCAAGATAAAAACATTCTAGATTTCTGCTGTACAACAATGTGTATATCATTCACAAAATGTTCTGCAAACCTAAAATTTTGTAAAGATGGTAGATTTTTTTGTTATGTGTTTTTTAATTACAAAAATTTCTGTCTGTATTTAGTTTACATTTTAGTAAGGAAAGAGAAATAAGCTAATAAATGGTAATGATAAATGCTGTAAGGATATCTAGAGCAATAAAAGAAGTTATGGATATGGGAATATAATTTTAGATAGTGAAGATTTCTGTATTCAAATGCCACATGGAAAAAGGACTAAGGGGAATGAGGAGATGAGTCATATGGAATGCCCAAGACACAGAAGAAGGCAGGCAGAGAAAATAACAAGGATAAAGACACTGAAGTAAAATCATGCTTTCTATATTTCAAAACAGCAGCAAGGACACTAGTGTGACAGAGAAGGAGTGATCAATGGGAGGCTGCAGATTTTGTCAGAGATATTGTCAAGGCTCAGGATCATACAGGGACTTGTAAGCCTGGAAAGCACTTTGAATTTTATTCAGAATGAGATGAGAAGCCATTGAAAAGTTTTTAAGCAGATGAGTAAAATAATCCACCTTGTATTTTAAGAGGAGCATTCTACCTTCTCTGTGGAATAGAGAGGTGGAAGGGCAAAGCTTGAAGCAGAGAGAGCAGTGAAGAGTGTACTGTAATATTCTTATGTGAGAAATAGTAGAGGGAATGAGAGGTGGTCAGCCTTAAACTGCCATTTGTTCTCTGTATCAGGGCTCAGGGACTTTCAGACTCTCCAGGGATTCCTTACAGTTTTTACATTCGTTTCTCAGTTGCAAACATAATCTCTTCACTCTATGAGAACTCTAGATCTGAATCCTTGTTATGAGTCAGGAGTCCACTCTAGTTTACTCTCTTGTCAGTAACTAGACTTGAAATGTTTTAATATTAATTGATGTAGTAATACGATTGGTTAGAGAAATAGCAAAGAGCGAGCGTCCCCATCCTATGACCATATCAGCACCAGAAGAGAAAAACACATCTACACAGTTTTTCCCTTGGCATAGGCCCTGGTATTCTGTCAGGGAACAGGTTATAAAGGAAATACAAAGGGTCTTTGTACTTACTTTCAGAATGTATTTTCTTTAACATGAAAAGAATCCAAGGTCTTTTTGCTTCTAATTGCTTTTTGTGTATCTACTACCATCCCTTGGTAAATTATTGATACTTTTCCTCAAATCTCGGCATGATGTCCTACATTCCAAATTTTCAATAGCTGAGAATTTCACCTTTTCAGTACCTTCATGTTTATCTTAGTAAAAATTTGAGAAAGACTGTAATAGAGTTATTTAATCAGATTTTTTTAATCTACCATAATTTTTGAATAAGGAAAAACATCAACACTTTTTCTCCTTACTTGGCAAATAATTTCCATAGAGAGGAAAAAAACAATCAAAACAGGTACAAAATGTAACAAAACCAAAGGACCATGTGAGTTGAAATTTAAAATGAGAAAAATGTCCACTTTACTTTGGGCAATGCAACTCCTGGGAAATAGTAACTCAGCACCTGAGAGCTAAATAATTCTACAGGACTAAATATATATTCCGGTACCCAAGGGGAAAATGACATCATAGAGTGTTTAGGTCTATTAAAACATATTTGTAGATGTGTAGGTATAAAAATGCTTTTAGAGATGGGAAGAGAAAAAACTCATTTATTTAACAAGTTCTGTTGGGTGCTTTTCACTAAAAGAGAAACATCACATGTTTATAACACTGAGGATGTAAATTGCAGTACATTTCAAATTACATGAGAAAATAAAGAAAATATCTGTTTCAAGTCACTGAATAATTCATCCTTATTTAGTGTTTGTCCCTAATATCTGTGATTTTATGAATACTTCAGAGCAATGATTTTACCTTTCTCTACAGCTGTATTTGGCAAAGGTCCACATTATTTTTGTTGCAAAGATGCAGCCAAATTTCTTAGAATAGGAACAATGTTTAGAATGTATTTTTTCCATAATGAAAAATATTATGAAAGGGGCAACTTAGATATAGCTTACAGGGTTCTCTATTGTGATAACTAAAACAGACTTAGCCTCAAGTAAAATTGACATCTTACTAACTGTTGGTGGTGAAGGAGAAAGAAGACAACATTGAGCCAGACTGGGGAAAGATGAATTCAAATTAGTTAGAGATTTGTCACCCAAAGCAAAACAAATTCAAGCTTGAACTGAGTTGACATTGATAGTTATTATGAATTGCAAATCCCTCAAATTCATACGTTGAAATCCTAACTCTCAATGTATTAGTATTAGGAGGTAAACCTTTGGGAGGTAATTAGGTCATGAAGAGGAAACCCTCATCAAAGGAAAGTAGTGCCCTTCTAAGAAGATATACCAGAGAGATTTTTCTCTCCTCCATGTGAGAATAAAATAGGACAGCCATCTGTAAGTCAGGAAGACAGCCTTCACCAAGAACCCAACCATGCTGACTCCCTGATTTCAGATTTACAGCCTACAGATCTGTGAAAAACAAATGTTTGTTGTTTTAGCCACTCAATCTGTGTTTTCTGTTATAGCAGCCCACATTGACTAAGAAAATACTAAAGCCTTTATTTGATAGATGAAGATAGTATCAGACAAGGTATCATATGAGTAAAAACCTAAGATTTATGTGTGATCATTTTACACTGGAGCAGCTACTGAAACTTAAGACCAAAACCACTAGTTAACATCAGTATGTCAACCCAAAACATTTGGGACAGTAATGAAGATACAGCAAATGAATTGTTTAAATATATAATCAAGGCAAAGTTATCATCAGAAATATAGGAAAAATATCCACTAAATTTGGTTTACGAGAAATTCATGATTCATTGTATACCTTGATACTGGGCTTAAAGCAGCAATCCTAATTCCAGATCTACCTTCAAGTCTGGGTCAGTGTTCTCAAATGCTGCCAGTTTCATGTCAGGACCGGCTTAATATTGAAGGTAACTGAGCATTGCTAATGTCTGACTGGAGCTGAAAGAGGCCAAAAGCAGGGCTATAACTTTCAGAAAACTGACCTGGTGTTAACTTCCATCCCTGCCATTTCAAACGGGAAGTTATCGCAATTAGAAGCTATTAGCAGTCTTATCTAATAACTTGTGGATAATTCCTTTTTTTTTCTTTTTTTAAGAGTCAGGGTCTCACTCTGTCACCTAGGCTGGAGTGCAGTGGTGCAATTGTTACGGAATCTTTGGGGTGTCGATTTTCTGGTTGGAAAACTGTGGTTGGTGGCATCTTTGCCCGAGTTCTTGTCCTGCATCCAGGAAGAATGGTGTAGGTAGACAAGTGAAGGGTTAAAGGAGAGGAGATTTATTAAGTGTTAGAACACCTCAGAGGAGACCCATAGTGGGTAGCTCCTCTCTAGGTTGTTCTGTCAAGTGTTCAGCTCTCAGCAGAAAGGGAAGCCCTGGAGAGGGTTGTTTCCGTCTGCAGCTGTTAGTTCCCAGACATCTCTGCAGGTCTCTGAAGCATTCAGCAGAGAAAGTAGCTGGCCCTCCCATTGTCTCCAGCTATCAGCAGAAAGGATAACTCCTTCCTGACTCTAGTCTTCCCTCCTCTGTCTTCTGCCCTGTTCTGGCTCAGTCCTGGGCTTTTATTGATGTCAGAGGGGAGGAAGTGTATGCCCATTGGTCCATGGGCAGCCATGGACGGGCCCAGGAAAAAGCACCATGAGTTTTGCCTCCAATCTGCAGGACTGGCAGCCTAGCCTGCAGGTTGGGCTTCACTGGGGACCAATTCCCTTCCACCCAGGAGCCTGTCTGCCTCCCACAGCCATCCATGGCACCCAGGCTTCTGGCATCAAAGGGCACTTGCAGGCCAGTGCCCAGCCACCGTCGGACCCCCTCAGCTTCCCCTCCCATGTTCCTGCTCCTCGGTGTCCAAAGTCCAGAGGGGGCTGAGGTGGCAGGGGACTGGCATGTCAGCACTGCTTCCAATGTGTGCACACCTGGCTGGGCTGTGACAGCACCCTGCTGGGTCCCAACCCCACTCTGAGATCAGAGCACAGAGCCAGGAGGTGGGAGAGACCAGGCAGCAGGAGGAGGTGCCTCCAAGCCTGCAAGGGGCAAGGGGGTCGTTCCCAGCCTCCCCAAGAGTACAGGTTTGCCTGAGTCTGCAGCATTGGTTTGGGTGGCTGGGTGGTGGGCTGGGGTGGGGACAGAGTAGGGGAGTTGGATAAACTCCTGTCTGCTCCATGGAGTGGGAGGTCCAGGTCTACAGCTACAGCTGCAGTGTGGGCAGCTGAAGCAGCATCCAGGGAGCTCCCATTCCAACTCAGAAGGGGCAGGGCTTCCACTTGTCCCCATCCTGCAAACTCCAGGGAGCATACAACCCCGGCCACACCTCTCCCCTGCAGCTGGCATGATGGCAGCAGCCGCTGCCATCACAATCATAGCTTATTGTGGCCTCAAACTCCTGGTCCCAAGTGATCTTTTTACCACAGTCTCCCCAATAGCTGGGGTCACAGGCATGTGCCACAATGCCCATCTAATTGCTTTTTATTTTTTGTAGAGAAGGTGGTCTGGCTATATTGCCCAGGTTAATCTCTAATTCCTGGACTTAAGCAGTCTTCCTGCCTCATCCTCCTACATGGCCGGGATTACAGGCATGAGCAACTGTGCCCAGCTCCTGATAAATCCTTTCTTAATCAAAGCCTTCATCAGCAGCCTTACTTACCACAGTCTTCCCAGATGATCTCAGGTTTCCAAAGAAATTAAAAGTAGCTACTGCTGACAAAACTGTTGGGTTCCCTGATATTGTGCAAGAATATAATTATGCTAGGTCTTCCGTTAGCTAGCTCTTCTTCTGTAACTGTCTCTTTCTATGTATTAATCAAAACTGATGCAACTTTTTAAAGAACTATTCCTAGAAACTTTCTTCCTTCCCAGTCAGATTTAATGTATTATTTATCCATTTAAAGGACTATATAAGTAGGACATGGTTTGGGTATATAACAGCACTTACGGCCATTTACTTTGTGGTTCAGTGATTTCTGTGTGCTTCTGACTTGTATATACTCTCAGCCCTTGTAGATGTAGTGGTGGTAGTTTTCCCAACTTAAATTTATCTTTATCATCCACCTTTATCCACAGTCCTCCTCATGTTTAGCACATTGTCAATAAATATTTACTAAGCTGAACTGAAAGTTTTTATTATGCATAAATACTAAGATGTACATGTCCATGGTCATTCAGGACAGCAGAAGTCCTATTTTTTTTTTTTTACCAGTGTATCTATTGCTAACAATTGCTTCAAGGTCAGGAGCCAACTCATGTACTAGACATGTAAATCTTGTGAAAATATTCATAATGGAAACAGCATGTAGCAAGTGCAAACAGAACTAAATACATCCTTAAATTTATCACAGTCCCTTCAAAGTATGAATTCTTCTTCTAGCATTACATCAAATTTGATAAAATCCAAAAATATTTTATCTCAATGTTTTAAAAGTGTTGATGCTGTATACATTGAGTTGTTGTACAATTGAATGGAACCCACATTCAAAGTTTTTCCTCAATGTTAAAATTAAATGGTTCTCTCTGTGATTCTTTCTGTTTGCAGTTCTTCTCATTTCATTGTTAGAATTTGCCTCTACTAATGTAATTAATTTGGCATTGCAGATATTCTGATCTTTTCAAATGTGTATTTTGACAGGTGCCTCAAACATTCATCCTTGGTTTGTGCTGTGGGCTGAAGGTTTATATCTCTCCAAAATTCATATATTGAAATCTAATTCCCAATATGTTGGTGATAAGATGTGAGGCCAGGCTGGACACAGTGGCTCACACCTGTAATCCCAGCACTTTGGAAGGCCAAAGTGGACAGATCACAAGGTCAGGAGTTCAAGGCCAGCCTGGCCAACATGGTAAAACCCCATCTCTTCTAAAAATACAAAAATTAGCCAGGTGTGGTGGCACACGACTGTAATCCCAGCTACTCGGAAGGCTGAGGCAGGAGAATTGCTTGAACCTGGGAAGCAGAAGTTGCAGTGAGCTGAGATTGTGCCACTGCACTCCAGCCTGGGCAACAGAGCAAGACTCCATCTCAAAAAATAAATAAATAAATAAATAAATAAATAAATAAATAAATAAATAAATAGGGAAGGTCTTTGGGATGTGAGTAGGTTAAGGGGGTTGGGGAGCCATCATGAATGGGTTAGTCCGCTTACAAAAGAACCCATAGAGAGCTACTTTGCCCCTTTTGCCCTTATGCCATGTGAAGATGTAGCAGTAAGTCTGAGAAACAAACCTCACCAGGTAACAACTCTGCTGCCACCTAGATCTTGGACTTCCCAACCCCCAGAACTGAGAATAATAAATTTGGTTTATAAGTTACCCAGTCTAAGGTAATTTATTACAGCAGTCCAAATGGACTCAAACAAGTTGTAAACAGTTGGAAAATGAGTATCTGTATTGAATCGCATATTTTAGCCAAAGTTTGCTTGTAGGAATACAGCCTATGACCAAAGAATTAATAGCTGACTCTCATTTGAATGGCCAAGATTTGCTCTCTATTTCCTGTATTTTATTTTTGTGCCTGTATGTTGGATATAGGCAAATTTTTACACAACAAACCAGAAAAGTTCAATAGTCTTTCATTCTCTGCTTTCACTAACTTCTTTTAAGTATATTTCAACAATTATCTTAATATTGTCACCAGTAGATTAAGCGTACTGTTATAAACACTCTATTTCTATTTATTCAAAACTTGAATTGAGCCAGCTGCTAATAACATTTTTTAATTAGCATTGCAACCATATTCACCTACCATATTTTTCCCTCTCCTTTGATTTCTGGGTCATTACTCACTTTCACAATTTCTATGTGACTCACCATTCTATACCTATTTTGCCTTACCTTAAAATATTTTTTGATTTAATACATTTACATTTTTTCCCCTTTTGCTTTTAGAATTGCATTACTATCATGGAGGGTTTTCTTTTCCTTTTTCAAGAGTTTCTCAAAATTCTTGACCAAAGCCCTATCCCCTGAAGTGAGTAATATTCTTCACTATATTACCGCATCACATGTTTACATCTGGCTAAAGTAAGAAACACTACTCGTGTTCTGTAGCTAATTGATAATTGTTAAAATAAACTTAATGATTGATAACAAATTATAGAAAATGATTATTTTAAGGTACTTTATACTTGTAATATTTGTAAATAATATGAGTTATCACCTCTTTCTGTAGCTAATTGTATAGGGAGCACATGCAGTTAGTGGCATGTTTCTTAACACATTTCTCATATCAAGAATAACAAATACAATGCAGTGGGGAGTGGAGAAAAGAAATTAAATGTGGCTACATCTGTAAGTAACAATTGCAGCCACTTTGTCAAGGGTAAAACAATCATCCATGAGCTATACAGATTATTTGCAACCAGAATAACTGAATCAAGAGGTTCCAACTCATTAATTTGTTTCATTCCCATATACCTGAACATCTGGGACATGAAGAAATAGTGTGTATGTGTTAATAGGCAAAGCTGTAGTAATGACTTCTACCTACTAGAAGCAGTTATCTATTTTCCTGTTACTATCTAATTTTTACACAAAAATACTTGAGATGAATATTGACAGAAACTCAGAAAGAAGTATGGCCTAAATTAATATGAAGGTAATGTAGTAATGGCAGAAATTTACAGCTTAAAAGTTTTTACAGTAGGAAGATTATTGTAATAGTGAGAGCCATGTATAAGTTTGTTTTGAAATGATAATGTACAGCTAAAGAGTATAATGCTCAAATTTTTGTATATGTAGTTTTTGTAATTCAACAAGTAGGGTTAAGAGACACTAAGAATTATACAGAATGTTGGATTTTATTTCACGTCTGTTCCTCTTGTGAGACATTGCCATCTTTCCCATGTTTCATCAGGTGTTCAGTAAGTTAACAACATTCACTCTGTGAAAAGTACCACATGATTTATTGTATAAATATAGTTGGAAATACACTGTGGTTCCTCATATCCTCAAGTTTATAATTCAGTTTGGAGACTACACTATATAAATGTAGAAATGCCATAATTATGCTTATAAATTGACTTTTTAAAACATGCAAATTAATATGGTAGAAACTGAATACATAAGTATGGGGGTGCCATATAAAATAATGATCAATGCCAGTGGGATTAATCAAGGAAAGTTTCTTGGGGAAGTGAATTCTAAACAGAATTTGGTATATTTGTTTAGCACACATTTTATGTTTTCTAATTATAAATACAATGTATTCTCATATTCTCAAGGTAATAAATTTGTAAATTTTAAATTAGTAGGAAGAGTAAAAGGAACTAAGATCCCACTGTCCAAAGGTAATCATTATTCAGTTTCTTCTCTTTTCCTTCCATTTGGTTCTCTGATATTTTCTTCATGGTTGCCATTATATCACATATTCAATATTATAACCCACTTTGTGTTTCAGTCAGTGTCTATACATACAACTTTGAATGATACAAATGTTTCATAGAAACTAAGTTTAATCAAATCAAGAAACTAAGTTTAATGCCAGTCTATATCAATGTACAGTTTCCTTCTAGCTAAATATTTAGGCTTTTCCAAATTTTATTAACATAAATAACTCCAAAGATATTTTTGTTAACATTTTCTCTTAGTGTTATTTTCATAAGGTAGACTTTAACAATTTACTATAATAAATTATAGAAAATGATCATTTTAAGTTTCCTTATACTTGTAATATTTGTAAATAATATGTTATCACCTCTTTTGAATTAGTTATTTCGGCTTGATATTTTATTGCATTGATCAGAATTCCCAGAATTGTAATATAATGCTAATTATTAAATCTTACATTCCTTCTCATGTTAATAGTTATTATTTTGTAAATATGATGCTATTAGCAAATTTTAGATTGACATCCTTAATATATTAGTTAGATGTTAGTAATTCCACTTTTCCTTATAACTGTGTTTTTCTTTTTAATCAGAAATCAATGTTGAGTTTTGTTCAATAATTTTATTATATTTATTCTGATTTTCATATTACTTTCTATTAACATATTGGTAAGTTTTTCTAAGATTTTCCATATGTTTATCTGAAAGGAGTTCGGTAATTTTCTTCACTGTTGCCATTATCAGATTATATATCCGATTTACAAAAGTTTTGTTAAAAATTTGGTTCCCCCCCATTTTTGTATGTCATTGAACATTTTGTTGACATTTCACATTTCTTGATTATTGAAGGAAATCTATAAGTCCATTGCTTGTAAAGGTTTTTTTGGAGAAAAGTTACTCTTTTTTAGTATATACTACTTTGTTATTGCTGTGTTCACGTATTAAAGTTAAATTATCTACTTTATTAAGACTTAAAATATTAATATATCATAGTATCAACTTTAAATATCTTCACATCTGTTGTTATATGCTTTATTTCTAATTTTTAAATGTGTACTTTATCTTGATTAAATTTTATTGAAACTTATCTATTTTCTTATTGTTTCTTTTTTAAACAATCCAGTCAGGATTTTGCAATTATATTTTTTATGATTTATGATTTTATTGTTATTGTTACCCTCATATATCTTGCTTTTTTAAATAAATTTGTATAACTTATTAAATTTGATGTTGTTTATTTTCTTTTTTTTAAGTAGACCTTTACCTGTTCTTTCTTCACCCACTTACGTTTGAGTCACCTGCAATGTGTCAGCTTCTACTTTCCCTGATCTTTCTTGTTGCTTTCCCTTATTTCTTCCTATAATCCAGGTATGATGATCTTCCAATTGACTCTCATGGCACCCTACACTTCTGTTATCACAGCACATGCTATTCCATTGTGCAAATGGATGGGCGAATAAGAGCACTTTCAGGACTTTATCATAATGTTTCAAAGTCATATTTTTTTTAAGAGACAGGGTTGTGTTCTATCACCTAGCCTGGGGGGAGAACAATGGTGTAATCATGGTTCCCTACAGCCTTGAACTCCTCGTTTCAAACAATCCTCCCACCTCAGCCTCTAGAATAACTTGGACTACAAGGGTGTGCAGCCACACCCAGCTAAGTTTTTGCTTTTCATTTTTGTAGAGATGGGGTCTCACTCTGTTAACCAGGCTGGTCTTGACCTCCTGGCCTCAAGTGATCTTCCCACCTTAGCCTCCCAAAGTATTGAAATTACAGGCATGAGCCACCACAACTGGTCTGAAAATTCTTAAATCCACTTATGGGCTATCTTCTAACTGTTCCCTTCCTCTATTTATGTCTCCAGTAAATTTCAACTCGTTCTTCAAATCTGGCTTCTGAGTGACCTTTTCAGAGATTCTCCAATGTATTCAAGTAAATGAAACAACTGACTTCTATGTTTTTTCATTTTATTTTATGATTAAATATCAAAATATTGAAATAAACAATATGTCCTAAGTAGGTTTTTTTTCTATCTCAAGTTCTTGATTTTGAGGCCTTTAAAGATAGAAACAACGGAATCAGGTCCTTGAACACAGGAGTTAATCAGTAAGCATTTGTTGAATAAACAATAACAGGACATCTTTCTGCTTTCCTAAAACTCATCAAAGAATTCTTACTCATTCTAATCCATCTTCCCTTATGATGAGACCAAACCACTCACTGTGGTCAACGGCATTAAAAAATAAAAAGTGGGGGGTTTCCAGAGGTTAAAAAATGTGGACAAAACTATTTGAAATATTCATGTATTTCTGAACTGATTCATTAAATAATTTTCACTATTAATATTTGTTAAATGCCTACACATCATTAGGGACCGTAAGTATAGCAGAGAACAAAACAGAAAAATTTTCCGGCCACATGAAATCTATATTCTAGAGGACAGAAGAAATGGTCTGATAAGAATCAGGAAAGAACAAGATATGTCCAGATTAAATCATAACCTTTATGTAGAATAAGAGTGAAATCACTGTAAGCTATGTTGATATTTGACCAGGCTACTTGAACACTTTTAGATAAGTGCTTTAAAGCTATTGGTGGCTTTTGAACAAGAAACTACTGTGGTCATTGAATTTCATGACAGAGTGCAAAAGAAGTGGAAAATGTACATATAAATATTCTCAGGCCACAATGTGCCATATCATGGAAACTTTGCAATTTTCCAGATGACAGAGAATAGAAATATGAGACATGACAATGGAAATGATAGTGAAAGGATGAATGTTAAATACACTGCAGAGGAGTATGAACTGGCAAGAATTGACAGATGATGAGTTAAGCAAGGTATGAACAAATGAGGAGTCAGGTGATTAAGAAGGGAGGGGGAATAAAATCATGCATCGCTTAATAACAGAGATACTTTCTGAAAAATGCGTTGTTAGGCAATTTCATTTTCCTGCAAACTTCATAGAGTGTACTTACACTAACCTAAATTGCAGCCCACTACTGCACAACTAGGCAATATCGTATAGCCTATCGCTCCTAGGCTACAAAACTTTATAGCATGTTACTTTACTCAATACAGTAGGCAATTGTAACACAATGGTAGATATTTGTGTTTCTAAACAAACATCAACATAGAAAAGGTACAGTAAAATACAATAAGATAGTCTTATGGGTCTACCATCGTATATACAAGTCTGTCCTTGACCAAACATTGTTATGTGGTGCATGACTGTAATATGGTATCATGTTGAGCAGAAACTCTCAACCTTCCCTGTTGAGGTACACTGATAAAAACTATAATAGGAAATGTATTTCTGATTGCAAAATCTCATAATTATGAGCAATTTGTTCTTTCATAAATTTAAGAGAATTCTCCAGAATAACAACACTCACTTTCATTGCTGTATGCTTGTCTTTAAAAGTAGAAGGAAAAGTTGATGAAAGTATGGCTAAAGTTGGAACTTCTCTCTCTTCTACCCTGGCTGCAGCATTAGTGAATAAGTATAATTTTTATGACTGTAACAATTAAATATTTCTCTTTCTGGACTTTACTTTTCCAGAAAGAGAATCTTTGGAGGAAAAGCTGATCTGTGAGGCAGTAAAGGAAAAGTGTTAATGTTTATGCCATATGAACCTTTAGAAGAAAGTCATTTTTTGATGGAAGCTTGCTTGTATCAATACATGCATGCATGGAAACAAATACTCTCTTCTTCCCCATGTCTTTTGTATGCTATCCTATTCCACCAGTCCTGAATTAGTGCTTTTGCCCTGCAGCTAACTCTCTCAAGTTCATCTTTCTGAAGTCCGAATCTCTCTCTTGAATGTTTCTGGCCTTAGTACCTACCCTGTAAACGCACTAAACCTGATCCATTTACAGACTAGATAGTTTTTTGGTCCAAAAGATAATTCATGGAATTTCCCTAATAAATGTATATTAACTTATATCATTTTAACAATTGATTTTCATTGATCCTGATGAGGATTGGCTATTAGTTGATTATTATGTGTATGTTGTAAAGATATACATGGCTGTCAGAAAAGAAGATATTTTATGCCATAAAATATTATGAGACAATTTTTTAAAAATAAGACTATGTTTTTCCTGAAACAAGCTATTTCTACAAACATATGCTTTCATGAAATTTTATTTCTCATGTTACCTTTAAGATTACCTTGTTGTATGCTGACTATATTAATAAAGTTAGAGATTCTGTGAAGTTTTAAGAGATTTTCTCTCTTTTGTTTTTTTTTTTTTCTTTAAGTTCTGGGACAGAACATGTACAGAACATGCAGGTTTCTTACATAGGTACAAATGTGCCATGGTGGTTTGCTGCAACTATCAACCTATGATCTAGGTTTTAAGCTGCACATGCATTAGGTATTTTTTCTAATGCTCTCCCTCCTCTTGCTCCACACCCCACAACAGGCCCTGGTGTGTAATCTTCCCCTCCATGTGTCTATGTGTTCTCATTGTTCAACTCCCATTTATGAATGAGAAAATGCAGTGTTTGGTTTTCTGTTCCTGTGTTAGTTTGCTGAGAATGGTGGCTTCCAATTTCATCCATGTCCCTGCAAAAGACATGAACTCATTCTTTTTTATGGCTGCATAGTATTCCATGGTGTATACATGCCACATTTTCTTTATCCAGTCTATCATTGATGGGCATTTTTGGATTGGTTCCAAGTATTTGCTATTGTAAATAGTGCTGCACTAAACATATGTGTGCATGTGTCTTTATAGTAGAATGATTTATAATCTATTTGGTATATACCCTGTAATGAGATGGCTGGGTCAAATAGTATTTCTGGCTCTAGATCATTGAGGAATTGCCACACTGTCTTCCACAATGGTGGAACTAATTTACACTCTCACCAAAAGTGTAAAAGCATTCTTATTTATCCACAGCCTTGCCAGAATCTGTTGTTTCCTGACATTTTAATAATCATCATTCTAACTGGCATGAGATGGTATCTCACTGTGGTTTTGATTTGTATTTCTCTAATGACCAGTGATGATGAGCATTTTTTCATATGTTTATGTCTGCATAAATGCCCCCTTTTTTTTTTTTGAGTCAGATTTTCACTCTTGTTGCCCAAGCTGGAGTAGTTAACAGCACAATCTCGGCTCACTGCAACCTCCGCCTCCTGGGTTCAAGTGATTCTCCTGCCTCAGCCTCCCAAGTAGCTGGGATTACAGGCATGCATCACCATGCCCAGCTAATTTTTTGTATTTTTAGTTGAAACGGGGTTTCACCATGTTAACCAGGCTGGTCTTGAACTCTTGACCTCGGGTGATCCACCCACCCCGGCCTCCCAAAGTGCTGGGATTACAGGTGTGAGTCACCATGCTTGGCCCTCAATGTCTTCTTTTGAGAAGTGTCTGCTTATATCCTTCACCCACTTTTTAATAGGGTTGTTTTTTTCTTGTAAATTTGTTTAAGTACCTTGTAGACTCTGGATATTAGACCTTTGTCCAATGGGTAGATCACAAAAATGTTCTCCCACTCTTCAGGTTGCCAGTTCACACTGATGATAGTTTCTTTTGCTGTGCAGAAGCTTTTTAGTTTAATTAGATTCCATTTGTCAATTTTGGCTTTTGTTGCAATTGCTTTTGGTGTTTTAGTCATGAAGTCTGCTCATCCCTATGTCCTGAATGGTATTGGCTAGGCTTTCTTCTAGGGTTTTTGTGGTTTTATGTTTTCAATCTGTCTCGAGTTAATTTTTGTATAAGGTGTAAGTAAGGGGCCCAGTTTCTGTTTTCTGCATATGGCTAGCCAGTTTTCTCAGCACCATTTATGAAATAGGGAATCCTTTCCCTGTTGCTTGTTTTTATCAGGTTTGTTGAAGACCAGATGGTTGTAGATGTGTGGTATTATTTTTGAGGTCTCTGTTCTGTTCCATTGGTCTATATATTTGTTAGGTACCAAAACCATGCTGTTTTGGTTATCATAGCCTTGTAGTATGGTTTGAAGTCAGGTAGCGTGATGCCTCCAACTTTGTTCTTTTTGCTTAGGATTATCTTGGCTATATGGACCCTTTTTTGGTTCCATATGGAATTTAAAGTGTTTTTTTCTAATTCTGTGAAGAAAGTCAATAGTAGCCTGATAGGAATAGCATTGAATCTATAAATTACATTGAGCAGTATGGACATTTTCATTATATTGATTCTTCCTATCCATGAGTATGGACATTTTTTTTTTCATTTGTTTGTGTCCTGTGTTATTTTCTTGAGCAGTGGTTTGTAGTTCTCCTTGAAGAGGTCCTTCATGTCCCTTGTAAGTTCTATTCCTTGGTAGTTTATTCTTTGTAGCAATTGTGAATGGGAATTGACTCATTATTTGTCTCTCTGCTTGTCTATTATTGGTGTATATGAATACTTGTGATTTTTTCACATTGATTTTGCATCCTGATACTTTGCTGAAGTTGCAGCTTAAAGAGTTTTGGGGCTGAGACGATGGGGTTTTCTACATATACAGTCATGTCACCTGCAAACAGAGGCAGTTTGACTTCCCCTCTTCCTATTGGATACCTTTTATTTCTTTCTCTTGCATGATTGCCCTGGCCAGAACTTCCAATCCTATGCTGAATAGGAGTCGTCAGAGAGGGCATCCTTGTCTTGTGCCAGTTTTCAAAGGGAATGCTTCCGCTTTTGCAATAAGCGTTTATTGTGTTGAAGTTTTGTGAAAATAGTAGATTAGGTTTTTCTACCAGTTGGGTATCTTAAAAAATCCTTTAGTACTCAGTTTTTAAGTTTTAAGTAAAAAAGATCACAAGTGACTAATTAAAGTTATAATGAGAGTACTGTAAGTATTCCAAAATAGTTGTTTCTAGTGGTGATATTTAGGGTGTATATTTGGTTTGGATTTTGTGCATATGTATTTCTAAGTTACCTACAGTGAATACATTTGTGGACATCAAACACTCTATGTTTCTTTTTTTGTGATAGCTTGTGCCTGATCTAATTCTACATTAGCGAACAGATTGAAGAAGTGAGGAGACATCAGATAGATGTAGACACTTCACCAAGGAGTCCCCCTGCAGTGCCACAGGGGCAGTAGGCTCACTTATTCCATATCCTTGGCATTTGCAGGGATAGACATACACAGGGAGGCACGGGGAGCTCCTGAGGAGCAAGAGCAGATGGTCAATGATGGGAAAAAGTTGCAGTGTCATAGACCCTGTTTCTTTTAATGGAAACTCAGGGATGGATGGCTTGGCCATAAACTATTAATAGTACCTCTGGGAAATAATAATACTCAATGCAGGACCCATCAAAACTGTTTCTCAAATTTAAAAGATCCACAGGGTTGCAGAACAGGGACTTAGAAATAGTAGAGGCAATTATATTTAAAATGGATGGTCACAAAACCATGATTCTGGGTTAGTATGGTTTGCCTCCTCAGTAAATAAGACATGGAATCATAGCAGTAAAAGTATTTTGAGTCTGGCATTTTACACATAGAAATGTGAATCCCTTTTTACATTTAAAAAATGCAAATCAATAGAAAATATGTGCTTTTATACATAGGATTTTGGTTTAAGGACTATATTTTAGTGCACAGTCTTCTACTTAACAAAATATATCTGCATTCAAAATAAATTATTTGCTATGAAGCAGAGAGTAAAATTTATCAGGGTCTTAATATTATAAGTTAAATTTTATATTTTGAGGTTACTAACCTGGTTTGGATTTTGTACATTTACACAACACCTTACGGAAGAGGTTTTCAAACCACATTCCACAGAATGTCCCTTTTTAAGGCTAAGTAATATTCCACTGTATATCTGTACGACATTTTGTTTATCCATTCTTCTGTCAATGAATGCTTCCACCTTTTGGCTATCATGAATAAAGTTGCTATGCACATGAATTTGCAAATATCTGTTGAAGTCCCTGCTTTCAATTTTTGGGGGTTTAAACCCAGAAGTGGACTTGGTAACTGATATAGTAATTCTATGTTTCATTTTTATTTATTTATCTATTTATTTATTTATTTATTTTTGAGAAGGAGTCTGACTCTCTTGACTCACTGCAACCTCCACTTCCCAGATTCAAGTGATTCTGCTGTCTCAGCCTCCTGAGTAGCTTGGATTACAGGCACGCAGCACCACGCCCAGTTAATTTTTGTATTTTTAGTTGAGACAGGTTTTCACCATGTTGGTCAGGCTGGTCTTGAACTCCTGACTTCGTGATCTGGCCACCTCGGTGTCCTAAAGTGCTGGGATAACAGGCATGAACCACTGATCCCAGCCTATGTTCCATTTATTTTTAATTTTGGAAGCACTGTACTCTTTTCCACCATGAGTATACCACTGTAGAGTCCACTGCCAATGTACAAGAGTTTCGATTTGGCTACATCCTCACCAACACTTGTTATTCCCTGCTTTTTTGATGATTGCCATCTTAATGTGTATGAAGTTGTATCTTACTATGGTTTTGATTTGCATTTCCTTAGTAATCAGTGATGTTGAGCATCTTTTCATGTGCTTGATGGCCACTTATATATCTTTTTTGGGAAATTTTCTATGTAAGTCCTTTGCCTATTTTTTAATAGGGTTGTTTATTTATTGTTGAGTTGTAGGAATTATTTATATATTCTGCATATTGATCCCTTATCAAAGATATTATTTGAAATATTTTCTTCCATTCTGCCAGTTGTCCTCTGATTGTACAAAAGTTTTAAATTTTGGTGAAGTCCAATTTACTTGTTTTTTTCCTTTGTTACTTATGCTTTTGGTGTCAGAAAGCTTTTAGTTTATAATTTTAACTATATCATGTCTCCTGCCTCATATGTACCACTGGACAAGATCTCTTTTATGTGCTCTGCTTCTGTCAGAGGTAAATGTATTTTGAAGTGGAGAACGAAGATAATTGCAAAATTGGCCTGGAGAACTAAGGTAATTATGAAAGTTACAGATACAAGAAGAGAGGGCTCAATATGCCAGCAGTTCTCTACCAATCCATCCTAGCGGTCTTCTTTTAGGATTGCCTAAATAATGCAGGGGATGGGTGCAAGACACACAAGTGTTCCAGAAGCATGTAAACAAGGTACAGAGAAAAGGATAAGATAAAATAAGATGAGCTAAGAATATTAGGGAAGTCCTGTTCAGAAGATGGCCTACAGAGGCAAAAGGGCCAGTTTCATTTTGCTGAGGGAAACAGGGTGGTAAGAAGCCTCGTGGGGAAGATCCGCGCTTACCCTGCTACAGAGAGGTGTAAAATAACGTAATGGGAGAGCATTAGGCTGAGATAGCTCCCATGGCCAGGGTTCCTGTGTAGACAAAATGAAACAAGCTCAGCCCACCAACAAGTGGCCCACTAAGTATTAGCTGTGTAATGAGAGACCTACCACCAGGATAGTTCCAATAATGCAACTGCCCAAATTTTTGCCAAACAAATAATTTCTCTACTCTACTTCTACATTCACCCTATAAAAGCCTTCCCTACAAACGCCTCCAGTAGATCCTCCAACCACTTTCAGTTTGGAGCTGGCTGATCCATGAATCTCTGTTTGCTTAAACTCTTTAAATTGTTAATATGCTTACATTTATCTATTTTTTTCTCATTTTTAAAAATTGAGATGGGATCTTCCTATGTTGTCCAGGCTGGTCTTAAACTCCTGAATTCAAGGGATCCTCCTGCCTCAGCCTCCTGATTAGCTGGAATTATAGATGGGTGCCTCCATACCCAGCTTACATTTATCTTTAAACAAGGGTTTGACCCCTTTCTGAAATGTATTTGTGTTAAGACCTGTACCGTAAGTGATATGGCAGGCTCAATTTAGACCATTGGACACTTTTGTCTCTGGACCACAATTTGCCCTTTGTGACCTGCTCTCCTAAGAAATTCAAGTGTAATTCAAGTTAGTTTACCCTCTGCTGATCAGGGGAGATTGCTCTGGGTGCAAACTCAAGACAGGCACTCACACCTTCATTCATACCCCAAATCTCAACATCACACAATACACCTATGTAATAAACCTGCACAGGTACCCTCCAGAATCTAAAATGAAAATTGAAATTCCCTAAAATTTTAATTTCATCTTACTAAAAAACAAAGATAAATTTACTTCTTTCCAATTTTGATATACATTATACTGACATACACACTATATTCTATGGTGAATTATGTTGATTGAATTTCACATTTTAAACTAACACTGAGTTACTTTGAACAACTCTATTGGGTCATAATGTATTTTGTTTTTAATATATTTTAATACAATTTGCAAATATTTTGTTTTAAAATTACATCTATGTTCCATAAATAAATAAATATGTAAAAATAATAAATGTTTATATTATTCAAGTGAAGATTACAGCGATCTTTTTGAATATCTACTTAACCTCAGCTAGCTTTAAATTCAGAAGTAGCAACTCCATAGAAATTCAACTTATTTCTACCTTATTACTCATACTTGTCTCCTTGAAGAAGCTTCATTGCTATCATCCAGTTTAGACTGGGATGTCACAAATCTCTAGACTGAGTAGTATAATACTCACTATTCAAATAAAATCAAATTATTATAATGTTATGACACCTCCAAATACAAAAATGAAGCCCATGGATGTTAGGTTAAGGTATAGAGACAAGTATTCCTACTTAGTATCTTTTAGGGCAGACATATCCCAGCTAAGGTGATTGCAAAATGAAATGGAAACCATATTGTGGAAGGGGACTTGAGACTCAGATTGGATTTTCATTCCAACTCTTATATACACAAGCTGCATGACTCTGGGCAAATTGCATATTCTCTTAGAGTTTCAATTTCTTCATCTGTACAATGGAGGTTAATGCCTATGGGCTATGGCTGATGTGGTGATAAAAGAACCAACAGGGATTCATGGGCAGGGCCTGGTCCATAAAGCAGCTGGCATCAACCAATGGAAGCCCCCTTCCCATCTTGTCTTTGCGTGCACTACAAAATCTGGAATATGTGGGTATAAAAAATACTCTTATAAGAGACAGAATTGGAAACTTTTGCAAAAAGAGATTGGAAAGGTGTCACATCTTGTGGCATGAGGAGCTGTGGGCATACACTTGAACTTTGTGCTGTGAGATATCCACAGAACTTCAGTAGCTTAAGAGAACAGTTTAGATGTCATCTTAGTCATCTACCATAGAACTTCCTCTTCTTTCCGAGATTTCTCGACAGTAACTTTTACAGCTCTAATAATGCAGTTCTCTCCCAATTGTTTGGACTATTCTAATAGATACAAAGCAGTATTTCACCAGCAGATGCTACTGCAGTTCATATGATGATTTCAAACTGAGAATCCATTTACAGTTATGCAATGCATATTTTTTGGAAATAGGGTGAAAGTATTTTAAGATTAAAATCCTATGAAATAGGTTTACAGTAAATAATTATTTGTTGCAATGTCTATCTTACTATCTTATATTCACACATGTATCGGTGTCCTAATAAATATATGTGGTGAGTGAAATTTACTTGAGGGCAGAGACTGTGCCATATGTTCCCTGCACCGCTGATGCCCATATCAGCACGTGATATACAGTAGATGCTCAGTAAATACTTTAACTTAAAAAACGCACTAAGAATAAATCTTAGAAGACATCAAAATACATATGAGTACAATCTAGGGACATGGTCAGGAGCTCAAAATTCAATCTTATTTATTTATTTATTTGTTTGTTTGTTTGTTTGTTTAGAGACAGAGTCTCACTCTGTCGCCCAGGCTGGAGTGCAGTGGCACGATCTCGGCTTACTGCAACCTTCCTCTCCCGGGTTCAAGCGATTCTCCTGCCTCAGCCTCCAGAGTAGCTGGGTTTACAGGTGCACACTAACACGCCCGGCTTTTTTTTATTTTTTTTATTTTTAATAGACACAGGGTTTCACCAAGTTGGCCAGGCTGGTCTCAAACTCCTGAGCTCAGGCGATCTGCCCACTTTGGTCTCCCAAAATGCTGGGATTATAGGCATCAGCCACCGCGCATGACCACAAAATGTTTTAATGTAGCTTCAAAACCCCTTTGTAAATAGGCTTATTCATAACAAGATGAAAACAAGAAAACATTGAGCTTCATATAACAGAAGGGTTCTGCCTGGATTTGCATGTGGCCCCATCATTTGTTTGCTGTTGGGCCATGGTCAGGTTACTTAGCTGCTCTCTGCCTCCACATAGGCTTTATGCCTGTACATCCCTCATCTACAAAACGGGAATAATAAGAATATCTAACAGTTAGAAGTGGAGAAAACATATATAAAGGTCTTTGAAAAGATCTTGTCAAAGCTCAATAATTGTCCTCAATAATTGCTCTCAATAATTGTCAGCTATTATTAATAATAATCATAATCACAAAAATGTATGACTCAAAGAAAGATTCCTACTTCATACAGCTTGCCAAAAGAATATCAGACATTGGACCTGTGAAAGGAATGACATTGAGATTTATTTTCACATCGCTAAGTTGGTTTTTTCTTTGCCATTCAATTTCTGCAGTCCCCACTCTAAGTCCATGGTCCACCTTTTTATTTTTCCTTCTAAGATGTCTTCCCTTCTTGTAAGATTTTCTTTGCCTTAAGAAGGGCCCTTTTCATCCACCCACTCTTTTACCCTTCCCAGAAGTTGGTTAATGGGCACAAAAATACAGTTAGATGGAAGGAACAGAAGAAGTTCTAGTGTTCAATAACACAAAAGGGTGATGATCGTTAACAATAACTTATTATACATTTCAAAATGGCTAGAGGAAAGATATGGAATTTTCCTAACACAAATAAATGATAAATATTTGAGGTGATGGATATGCAAATTATCTTGATTTGATCAGTGCACATTGTATGCATGTATCAAAATATCACATGTACCCTAGAAATAATTATAATTGTAATGTATCAATAAAAACAAAAAGGGCTTATTTCTCTTTCCTTCCTCCCAGCATTCCCTCCTATCCCAGATATGTGTTGCTCCTGGGGCTCTCTTGCCCCACGTTCAGTCAGCACTGAGCCAGCAGGAAGGATTTCACAGGTCATATCCTGAGATCAACCCTCCACCCCTTCAGGTAATGATCCTCCTGCTCTTAATCATTTATATCCTTTGGTTCATAGATATTTTGAGTCAAGTGCCTTCTAACCGCTGAGCTACATAATATTCCTTGGTTTTTAAAGAAAATACAAAGTGGATTTTAGCAACAATCTTGAGTCATCACAGAAGCTAATGAAGTTGGGGATTCCATGAAGCCATCCAAGCACATAAATCCCATTTCCTGGGTCCCTTTTCCTTAGCTCAAGGCCACAAAAATCAGAACATGAATTCCAGCCCATATTTGCATTATGTCTAAATAATTATGAAATATAAATGAAGCTAAAAAAAGCTAAATATGTTCTATTCTTCTACTTCAATAACTATACCGCCATAATAACCCACAAGGTCAAAGTCCAGTGTAGAATTCTCTGAGTTCTTGGTGCTCTGCATGGGAATGTGGTAGTAAAGGGAGAGCTGATCCTCAGCCCCAGGCTACATTTTTTTCTTTCATCATAGCTAGCCTTGTCCTTACTTGAGAAGCCTTGCGTTCTCCTGTGTGGGGGACTCCCTAGGCCCCATGGAAGCTCCATCCGCAATTCTAACCCCTTCAGACAGCAGAGCCTTGGGCACCATTTGGACAAGCACAGTTTTCACTTTGAAATTGACCCAGGGAAGAGGCCATGCAGGCTCAGGTACATTTGGCCAGGGTCCTGAGTGTCCAGTGTGTGCCCTAGAAGAGAGGGTGAGAGCTCTGGGTGGGCCAGGGTACAGTCAGTGGAGGGCCAGAGAGGCACCTTCTCAAGCGCAGGATTCAGGGCGGGGGTCCTCTTGCCAAGATCGATGGCTATGATTCCTCTGTGCAATGACGACTGCATCACGTCTTCTCAGCGCACCTTTCTTTCAGTCTCAGCCACCGTGGGGAGTTCCTTGGAAGCACAGGCTTCCCTTGTGCTGCCAGCAAACTCAAGCTACACTTTCCGCCCCGGGACATCTCCACTATTGTAGGGTTTTGCCTAAGCACAAATACAGCCCAGAAACACTTGCAGGTTAACAGCCTCAGGGGAAGACCTCAACCAGTGTGGGACAGGTGGGCAAATGCTCGAGGCTTGTGTTTCAGGTGGACAGTCCTGGATAACTTTCCAGAGCCTCTCGGAAGGTCCCGCATAAAAAAAGTCCATGGGAGCAGCCTCAATGGCATTCTATTATTTTGGCTTTTTTTTCTTGCCTGGCTCACTCCTCCCACATCTCACTCTTGCTTCTTGGAATAACTGCCCAAATAAATCATCCACACCCAAGTCTTTACTCCAGCTCTGCTTTCAGGGGTACAGGCACACCTTGGAGATATTGCAGTCACCACAATAAGACGAATATCACAATAGAGCAAGTCACATGAAATTTTTTGCGAGTCACAAGAAATTTTTTGCTTTCTGGTGCATATAAAAGTTATGTTGCCGGGCATGGTGGCTCACGCCTGTAATCCCAGCACATTGGGAGGCTGAGGCGGGTGGATCACCAGAGGTCAGAAGTTTGAGACCAGCCTGGCCAACATGGGGAAACCCCGTGAAAATACAAAAATGGTGGTGAGCGCCTGTATTCATAGCTACTCAAGAGGCTGAGGCAGGAGAATTGTTTCAACCTGGGAAGCAGAGTTTGCGGTGAGACAAGATCACACCACTGCACTCCAACCTGGGCAACAGAGTGAGACTCCAACTCAAAAAAGAAAGTTGTGTTTAAACTACTGTAGTCAATTAAGTGTGCAATAGCATTATGTCTAAAATATAATGTATATACCTTACTTTGAAAATACTTGATTGCCAATAAATGCTAACCATCATCTGGGCCTTCAGCAAGTCATAATCATTTTGCTGGTGGATGGTCTTGTCTCAGTGTTGATAGCTACTGACTGATCAGGGTGATGGTTGCTGAGGGCTGGAGAGGGTGTGGCAATTTCTTAAAATAACATGACAGGGAAGTTTGCCGCGTTCACTGACTCTTGCTTTCACAAAAGATTTCACTGTAGCATGCTACGCAGTTTGGTAGCATTTTACCCACAGTAGAATTTATAGCAAAACTAGACCCAATCCTCTCAAACCCTGCCACTCCTCTGTCAACTAAGTTTGTGGAATATTCTAAGTCCTTTGTCGTTCTTTCCACAATGTTCATGGCATCTTCACCAGGAGTAGATTCCATCCCAAGAAACCACTTTCTTTGCTCATTCATAATAAGCAACTCCTCATCCATTAAGATTGCAGCAATCTGGCCAGGTGCGGTGGCTCATGCCTGTAATCTCAGCACTTTTGTAGGCTGAAACGGGTGGATCATCTGACGTTGGGAGTTCGAGACCAGCCTGAACAATATGGTGAAACTCCGTCTGTACTAAAAATGCAAAATTAGCCGGGTGTTGTGGCACATGTCTACAATACCAGCTACTCGGGAGGCTGAGGCAGGAGAATCATTTGAACCCAGGAGTTGGAGGTTGCAGTGAGCTGAGATCGCACCATTGCACTCCAGCCTGGGCAACAAGAGCAAAACTCCATCTCAAAAAAAAAAAAAAAAATTGCAACAATTCACTCACATCTTCACGCTCCACTTTTAATACTAATCCTCTTGCTATCTTCACCACATCTGTGGTTACTTCCTCTGCTAATGTCTTGAACCCCTCAAAGTCATTTATGGGGGTTAGAATCAACTTCTTCCAAACTCCCATTAATGCTGCTATTTTTACCTCCTCTGGTGAATCATGAATGTTCTTAGTGGCATCTACAATAGTGAATCCATTTATAGAGCACGGGTAGAGTAGATTTAGCATAATTCTTAAGATGTGCCCTAGGATTTATGGAATGGCAAATGAGCATTGGCTTGTAATAAGAGAGTCAGTCTGTCCTTTAAATCTTTTTTTTTCTCGTGAGATAAGGTCTCACTCTGTTGCCCAGGCTGGATTGCAATGGCATGATCTTGGCCCACTTCAGACTTGACCTCCTTGACTCAAGCAATCCTCCCACCTCAGACTCCTGAGTAGCCAGACTAGTAGCATGCACCACCATACATGACTTATTTTTTTTTTATTCATTTATTTTTGGTTAGAGACAGGGTTTTACCATGTTGCCCAGGCTGGTCTCAAACTCCTGAGCTCAAGCTATTCTCCCACTTCAGCCTCCCAGAGACATGAGCCACCCTGCCTGGCCTCTAAATTCATCTTATGTGGACTGATTTTCATGGTCAAAATGTCCTGAATTGACTGTGGCCTGTTGGGAGGTGGGATGGAGGAAACTACTTATGGAAATTGAAGAAGGGAAGCACACCAGAAGCAAGAAAGTGTCATCGATTTTTACATCAAGGACTCCATGGTAAAGAGAAAGAACAGGTAGCCTGTTTTTGTGGCTGACCATTGGACTGCGGACTGCACCTGCATCTACCAGGTTCTTCTGGATAGTCCCAGTTTTAAATTTTTGACCTGGCATTCATGAACACAGTGCTACTGGTCAGACCTTTGTCCAGGTTTAAGCTTCAGAAAATAATTTCTTCATGCAGTGGGAGGCCTGGTTAGGGTTATGATTCTGCCCTGGGGCATCTGACCCTTCAGACCTGGAGGTAAACTTGGCATCTACAATTTACCTCCACATTTGAACAGCCAAGGATGGGCTGAGCACAAAGGCTCACATCTGTAACTCCAACACTTTGGGAGGCCAAGGCGGGAGGATCGCTTGAGGCCAGGAGTTGTAGACCAGCCTGGGCAATATAGTGAGACCTTGTCTCTGTAAAAACAAACAAACAAACAAACAAAACCAAGGATGCGTGGGTGGCAGGGAGCAGTTCAACATGGGAAACCATTAATCTGAGAGCTGGAAGGACCCTTAGACCAGCCCCCTATTAACAGATGAGACTGCCCTGGGATTATAGCCTAAGGTAATGCATTGAACTTTTCTAGAGATTTGAAAATAAACAATCCTAAAACCCCCAAGCATACTGCTACTCTTTGCTATTGAATAGTGCTTTCTAGTCCAGGTGTTGTGGGTCATGCCTGTAATCCCAACACTTTCGAAGGTTGAGGCAAGTGGATCACCTGAGGTCAGGAATTCGACACCAGCCTGGCCAACATGGTGAAACCCTGTCTCTACTAAAAATACAAAAAATTAGCACGCCATGGTGGTGCATGCCTGTAATCCCAGCTGCTTGGGAGGCTGAGGCAGGAGAATACTTTGATCCTGGGAGGCAGAAGTTGCAGTGAGCTGAGATTGGACCATTGCACTCCAGCCTGGGCTACAAGACTCAAATTCCGTCTCGAAAATACTAATGATAATAATAATGTTTTCTACAAGCAAGGGGTTACTTTGTACTGGGAACTGGTGTGAAGGGATCCACCATGTGTCAGTTTTTGGATTGATGACAGTTATTTCCAGATCATGGAAGTGGGAATGCTTGTTGATAATCTTCTATGTTCTTTGTTATATTGATTGATTTTTTAAAAAAGCTAGCATTTTTATAACAATAAAGTCATAAAAATAAGTAACTAAAATAAAGTAAAATAATCTAAAAAGGCCAAGCGTGGTGGCTCACACCTGTAATCCCAGCACTTTGGGAGGCCAAGGTGGGTGGATCACGTGAGGTCAGGAGTTCAAGACCAGCCTGGCCAACATGGTGAAACCCCATCTCTACTGAAAATACAAAAATTAGCCAGGCATGGTGACAGGCACCTGTAATCCCAGCTACTCAGGAGGTTGAGGCAAGAGAATTGCTTGAACCTGGGAGAAGGTGCTTGCAGTGATCTGAGATTGCGCCACTGCATTCCAGCCTGTGTGACAAGAGCTAAATTCTGTCTCAAAACAAAACAAAACAAAAATCTAAATGTAATTGAATTGAATATTTAAACTTTTAATTGACATTTCAATTTAGATTCTAATTCCATTTAAAAGAGCATCTCATAGAAGCAAATGTACTCATTTATGATAACTCTGTGGTTTCATTTAAGCAATTTGTTTTGTGAAGGGACACAAATCCAACCAGATTTTAACAGTTTATAAATATGTATTTATTAATTTAATTACAATGACAATACTCTCAACTCCCCATTTGAATAAAGGAGAGCATCTGATCTGTGTTCTGGGACAGCGTGCACTGTAGGTGTGTGGAAATACCGATGCCCTTAGCTGTGTGGCAGGCTCAGTGGGACCTGGAGTGCAGGAGCCCCTGGGTCATTCACCTCTGACCACAAAAGTCGTTGTCCATTTACCCCCAACTGCTATAGAAATACTATTTTCAGTGGTTGTTATGATGCAAAAGAAAAGATGCAGGGAGATTTATTAAACCTTTACATATAAGTTATGTTAGTAAATAAAGTCTACTTTCTTCTGGCTTAACTAAAAAATCTTTACTAGTATTTATGCATTTTGGAAAATAAAGATGCCAATTTAAATATTATGAAGCAAAGCAATTGATTATTAGTTAAGACAGCCAAGTACAACTGCAGAGTTGTAGAGGTTATGTGTTACATGTATAAGAATATTTCATAGCAATATTTTAAGACTCTGTGAAGACACTCCACAGTGAAGCAGAAATTAGAACAGAATTAATAATACTGTGTATGCTCTCAGTTCAACAATTTATCAAAACTAGCTTTGTAATTCAGGAGGCTGTCTGCTCTTTTGCAATTGGAAGAAAAGAAATAACATTTTATTTTTCAACTCTTTAGATTTTCTTCATTAAGTGTATTTCCAAAGCTAAGTAAGGGAGTTGCCAGTAGCACCAAGAGAAAAAAGCAGTCTTGAGCAGCTTTTAAAAATTGGTCTTAAAATATGGAAAATGGAGCCAGGTGTGGTGGCTCACTCTTGTGATCCCAGCACTTTGAGAGCCTGAGGTGGGAGGATTGCTTGAGGATGAAAGTTTGAGACCAGCCTGGGCAGCATAGCAAGATCCCCATCGTTACAAAAATAATATATATATATTTTTAAAATTAGCTGGATGAGGTGGTGCGTGCATTAGAGTCCCAGTTACTTGAGAGGCTGAGGTAGGAGGAGTTCTTGAGCCCAGCAGTTCAAGTCTGCAGTGAGCTACGACTGCACCAGTCCTCAAGCCTGGGCAACAAAGTCAGACCCTGTCTCTCTCTATATATAAAGATATATATAATATCCATATATATATATATATCCATATATATATATATACACACCCATATATATATATATATATATATATATATATATATATATATATATATACACATACATATATATATATATGGAAAAGGGAAGGGGCCAAAATATCAAAGACATTATTGAAGAAGAGGAAAGATTTGTGCTGGCAAATATCAGAACTTTTATAAAGCTACAGCAGTTAAGACAGTGTGGTCCTCACTGATAAACTGACTAATTAAACAGAATAGAGAGTTCCCAAACAAATCTCCACAAATTTAATCTTTGATATGTGATGTAGGTGACATGGCAGATCAGCAAGGAAAGAAAGGACTTTTCAATAAATAGAATAGAAAAATAATGGTTATTGATATAAGAAACAAAATGAAATTATATTCCTGCCTTGCTCTATATACAAACATTAAATTCCAGAGGACCAAAGACTTACATGTCAGAAACAAAACTTCAAAACTTTTAGTAGATAATGTAAGTGAATGAGACACAAAAAGCCATTTAACTATTAAAAAAGATTAGACATTTTGACTATCACAAAATTAAGAACTTTTTACATCAAAAAGTGGAAAGATAAGCTGGGCACAGTGTCTCAATCCTGTAATCCCAACAGTACATCACCTGAGGTCAGGAGTTTGAGACCAGGCTGGCCAACATGGTGAAATGCCATCTCTCCTAAAAATACAAGAAATTAGCTTGGCATTAGTGGCAGACACCTGTAATCCCAGCTACTTGGGAAGCTGAGGCACGAGAATCGTCTGAACCCAGGAGATGGAGGTTGCAGTGAGCCACTGCACTCCAGCCTGAATAACAGAGCTAGACTCTGTCTAAAAAAAAAAAAAAAAAAAAAAAAAAAAGAAATTAAAAAATAAAAGTAAAAAAGTGAAAAGATAAACTATAAATTAGAAGATATTTGCGGTACCTAAAACCTATGAAAGATTACAATCAGATCAACTAAGTATAAGGAGCTCCTATGAATTAATTTTAAAAATAGAAACCCAACAGAAAATTTGGAAAAGACATCAATAGGGATTTCTCAAAAGAGAAAGCACGCAAAATGTAAAAAAATTTCTCAACCTCATTAGTAATCAGGAAAATGCACAAGATACTACACATCTATTCTCCCCACAATTATTAAGAAGTTTGACAATATAAAATGTATTAGTCCACATTCGCAGTGCTGATGAAGACATACCTGAGACAGGGAAGAAAAAGAGGCTTAATTGGATTTAGGGTTTCACATGGTTGAGGAGGCCTCAGAGTTATGGCAGCGGGTGAACAGCACTTCTTACATGGCAGTGGCAAGAGAATATGAGAAGGAGGCAAAAGAAGCAAAAGACGAAACCCCTAATAATCCCATCAGATCTTGTGAGATTTATCCACTATCAAAAGAATAGCATGGGAAAGACCGGCCCCAAAGATTCAACTACCTCCGTCTGGTTCCCTCCCTGAACACGTAGGAATTCTGAGCAATACAATTCAAGTTGAGATGTGGGTAGGGACATAGTCAAACCATGTTTTTCCACTCCTGGACCCTCCAAATCTCATGTCCTCTCCAAATCTCATGTCCTCACGTTTCAAAACTTATTACGCCTTCCCAACAGTACCCGAAAGTCTTAACTCATTTCAGCATTAACCCAAATGTGCACTGTCCACTGGGCACAAGCATGAACACCACCGTTTGTTGCACCGTCGCCCCATATGCCTCCGGTGACACACAATCACACCATCTGCTCTGGGATACACCAGTACCACGCCTGGCCGCATGGTCTCCACCTCGGATTCACCCCAGTTCCTGTTTGCTCATGTCCTGTAAAGCACTCTCGGCTTTCCGGAGGCCCAGAGCTTTTAGAAGCAGGGCAGGCCACTGCTCTTTCAAAGGAGGAGGGAGGCAGAGGGCTGATGGATCAGTGAATTTTCAACTGACAACAAGCCTTGAGACTCATGGGATCGATTTGTGCTGCAGCGAGGCCCTGCCTGCCTCATCAGGTGTGGTGAGCCCATCCTATCTCACTCGGAAGGGGCCAAAATCAGATCTGAAGGGGAGTCCGGAGAACACAGCAGACGTCCTGAAGCTCCCCCTCCCTCGGTGGAAGTCTGCTCAAGGAGGTCCTGAGGACAGGACTCCTGGGAGTTTCGTGCTTGGAAAGGACCCCCGTGGCCCCCTCTCAAACGCCACCCCCAACTGGACCCCGGATGCAGCCACCACCGTGGCTGCAGGAGGAGACTCGCTGCCGCCAAGCAGCGGTGGACTAATTTAAAGGGGTTGCAGCCTGAGCAGCCTCATCCTGAGCGGCCTGTTTTCTAGGATCAAGATGAACACACTGCAGCCGAGGACAAGAGCCCCACAGGAGCTCTTTGTCCTGCAGGAGAGTAGCAGACCCACGTCAGAGAAGATGGTTGTATCTTTTCACAGCTCTTCTCTGAGAAATGAAGCCACACCACGATACAGTCTGGAAGAGGAAGCCGGGAATGGGAGATGGCAACAATCCCTGTCACTGGAACGCTGGCCTCTCTGGACAAGCCACCCTTTTGGAACCCCACACCTTAGGCCAGTGGTGGTGGCACAGTGCTGTATCCTGCCTGGGCTCCAGGCACTGGCCTCTGCTCTGTCCTCCCTCTTGCTGTGCCTCCCCTGTTTCTCAGGGGCCTGGATGCCTCTCGCTCTGGCCAAATGTCTTCAACGAAGATGACTGCCTAGTCCGTCAGGGAGACACTTCCTGGAGATCCGTGTCATGATTGCTTCCTCTCCAAACGTGTTTCTGCTTGATTGGGGAGGTCTCATGACCCTGGAGCTCTTGGCTTCCATACGTGTCTCAGACAGAGGAGTTACCTTCTTCTCCACGTTTCCCCTCATGGGTGGGTGGATTGCCTAGAAGGAGCGCTAGGCGACCATGACTGGCCTTGTCTCCTAGGACAAGTGGTGTCGCGTTTCCTCTGCACTTCCTGTCTCATTCTTGAGGGACATCCTCTCCTCTGCTCCTGGGTGGGCTGACTCCCTTGATCTTCTGGCCCAAACGAATGTCAGGGAACCAAAGGGACTGGGCTGTGGCTGGGGCTGGGGCTGGGTGCAGGGGAAATTGTGTCAGGGCTACCAGGGCGGTGGAGGGTTGGGGGTGGGGCGAATTTTGCAGAAACCTCTTTGCTCCTCTGGTAGGCATTTGAAAATGTGGCTTGGGTCAGGCCCAGGCCCACCCAACCCCCGGGTCCCAGGTGTTCTGTGATTTTCCTTGGCATTGAAGGAAAAGTCTCTTGTTCCCCCCTTCCACAGGCACATGCCTGGACTCCACCGTTTGTTTCGCCGTCACCCCATATGCCTCCGGTGACACACATTCACACCATCTGCTGTGGGATACGCCAGTGCCACGCGTGGTCTCATGGTCTCCACCTCGGATTCACCCCTCTTCCTGTTTGTAGATGTCCTGTAAAGCGCGGTGGGCTTTCCAGAGCCCCAGGGCTTTGAGAAGAAGGAAAGGCCACTGCTCTTTCAAAGGAGGAGGGAGGCAGAGGGCTGATGGATCAGTGAATTTTCAGCTGACGCTACGCCTTGAGATCTATGGGATCATTCTGTGCTGCAGCGAGACCCTGCCTGCCTCACCAGATGTGGTGAGCCCATCCTATCTCACTCGGATGGGCCCAAATCTGATCTGAAGGGGAGTCCCGAGAACAGAGCAGGCGTCCTGAAGCTCCGGCTCCCTCGTTGGAAGTCGGCTCAAGGAAATCCTGAGGACAGGACTCCTGGGGGTTTGGCCCTGGGACAGGACACCCTCGGCCCCCTCTCCCACGCCGCCCCAATCTGGACCCCGGATCCAGCTGCCGCCAGGGCTGCAGGAGGAGCCTCGCTGTCGCTGCCACTGCTGCGCGGAGGCGTTACTTAAAGGGGACGCAGCCTGACTGCCAGGAGCAGAGGGCGAGTCAGAGCAGCCAATGCGCATGCGCGAGGCACAAGCGGTTTCTCCCGTCACAATGCTTCCCGCCGTTGTCTTAGAAACCAGTCCCTGAGGCTTGGCAGAGCAGGAGCCCTCCGTGGCAGTGCTTGGGTGTCGGGGCTCTGAGGCTCTGGCCTGACCTCTCCACGGGGTCGACGGGAACGTCTCCGGATGCCAGGGGTCGCAAAGGGCCGACCAGGTTGAGGAAACCCCAGGAGGAGTCCGCGGGAAGCAGCATGGCATCCCAGCCTCAGGCCTGCCCAGACGGTGTTGGGGTGAGTCTCCCCAAAAGTCATGCCGCCGTGGTCTCGAGGACAGGTCGGCCTGCGTGCCACTGGGCTGCTCTGTCACCCGAGGGTCGTTCTCGTGGAAAGCAGAACCCGGCAGCCTCAGGGGTTGCCTGGGGGTGTGTGTTTCAATGCCTCTGCTCTATGATCCTGTGTGTGTGTCTGTGTGTGTGTGTGAGTGTGTGTGTGTGAGTGTGTGTGTGTGAGTGTGTGTGTGTGTGTGTGTCTGCCATTCTCTTTTCTCTCTTTGTCTCTCGGTCTCTGTGTGTTTCTTTCCCTCTCTCTGTCAGTCTGCATGTATGTCTCTGGCCGAATGCGCCCTGTGCGCCACAGAGCGATTTCTCGCATGTCGGCCTGTCTTTGGTGAGCCTCTTTCTGAGTCTCTGCCTGGGTCGTGCAGCCGGTTGTCAATCGTCTTCGCCGCCGCGGACCCGCTTTGGGTGTGTGAAGGCCTGGCCCATGTGAGGAGATGCATCGGTCCCGGAGCAATTGAAATCTCATCCCCATCCTGAGCGGCATCTTTTCTAGGATCAAGATGAACACACTGCAGCCGAGGACAAGAGCCCCACAGGAGCTCTTTGTCCTGCAGGAGAGGAGCGGACCCAAGTCAGAGAAGATGGTTGTATCTTTCACGGGCTCTTCTCTGAGAAATGAAGCCACACCACGATACAGTCTGAAAGAGGAAGCCGGGAATGAAGACGGCAACAGTCCCTGTCACTGAACCACTGGCCTCTCTGGAGAATCCAGCCTTTTGGAACCCCTCCCCCTATTCCCGTGGCGGTGTCACGGTGCTGTATCCTGCCTGGGCTCCAGGCTCCGGCCTCTGCTCTCTTCTCCCTCTGCTATTTCCTCTCCTGTTTCTCAGGGGCCTGGATGCCTCTCGCTCTGGCCAAATGTCTTCAACAAACATGACTTTCTAGTCTGTCAGGGAGACACTTCCTGGAGATCCGTGTCATGTTTTCTTCTCTCTCCAAACGTGTTTCTGCTTGAATGGGGAAGTTTTGAAACACTCCTTTTGTAGAATCTGCTAGTGGATATTTGGAGCTCTTTGAGACATTCGATGGGATCAAGAATATCTTCACATAGAAACTATGCAGAAGCATTCTCAGAAACTTCATTGTGATGTGTGCATTCAACTCACAGAGTCGAACCTTTCTTTCGATAGAGCAGTTTCAAAACAGTCCTTTTGTCGAATATGCAAGTGTTCATTTGGCGCGCTTTGAGGCCTATAGTGGAAAAGGAATTATCTTTACATAAAAACAAGACTGAAGGTTTCTCAGAAACTTCTTTGTGATGTGTGCATTCAACTCACAGAGTTGAACCTTCCTTTTGAGACAGCAGTTTTGAAACAGTCTTTTTGTTGGATCTGCAAGTGGGTATTTGGTGCGATTTGAGGCCTATGGTGGAAAAAGAAATATCTTTACATAAAAACTAGACAGAAACATTCTCACGAACTTCTTTGTGATGTGTGCATTCAGCTAACAGAGGAACTTTTCTTTTGATAGAGCACTTTTGAAACACTCCTTTTGTAGAATCTGATAGTGGATATTTGGAGATTTTTGAGGCCTACGTTGGAAACGGCAGTATCTTACCAGAGAAAGTAGACAGAAGCATTCTCAGAAAGTTCTTTGTGATGTGTGCATTCAGCTCACGGAGTTTAACCTTTCTTTGGCTAGAGCAGTTTCGAAACACTCTTTTTGTAGAATCTGCAATTGTTTATTTGGAGCGCTTTGAGTCCTATGGTGGAAAAGAAAATATCTTCCCATTAAAAACTAGACGGAAGGATTTTGAGAAACTTCTTTGTGATGTTTGCATTCAACTCACAGAGTTGAACATGTCCTTTGATAGAGCAGTTTTGAATCAGTCTTTTTGTAGAATCTGCAAGGGGATATTTGGAGCGATTTGAGACCTAGGGTGGAAAAGGAAATATATTCACACAAAAACTAGAGAGAATAATTCTTAGAAACTTCTTTGTGATGTGTGCATTCAACTCACAGAGCTGAAACTTTCTTTTTATAGAGCAGTTTTGAAACACTCCTTTTGTAGAATCTGCTAGTGGATATTTGGAGCTCTTTGAGGCCTTCGTTGGAAATGGGAATATCATCACATAAAAACTAGACAGAAGCGTTCTCAGAAACTGCTTTGTGATGTGTGCATTCAACTCACAGAGGTGAAACTTTCTGTTGATAGAGCAGTTTTGAACCACTCTTTTTGAAGTATCCGCAAGTGGACATTTGTAGCTCTTTGAGGCCCATGGTGAAAAAGGAAATATCTTCACATAAAAACTACACAGAAGCATTCTCAGAAACTTTTTTGTGATGTGTGTATTCAACTCTTTCTTTTGATAGAGCAGTTTTGAAACACTCTTTTTGTAGAATCTGCAACTGGACATTTGGGGCCCTTTGAAGCCTGTGGTGAAAAAGGGAATATCTTCACATAAAAACTACACAGAAACATTCTCATAAACTTCTTTGAGTTGTTTGCTTTCAACTCAAAGAGTTGAACATTCCTTTTCATAGAGCAGTTTTGAAACACTCCTTATGTAGATTTCGCAAGTGGATATTTGGACTGCTTTGAGGCCTTCGTTGGAAACGGGATATCTTCACAAAAACTAGACAGAAACATTCCCAGAAAATGCGTTGCGATGTGTGCATTCATCTCAAAGAGCTGAACCTTTCTTTTGATAGAGCAGTTATGAAACAATCTTTTTGTAGCATCTGCAAGTGGTCATTTGGAGGACTTTGAAGCCTGTGATGAAAATGGAAATATCTTCACAAAACAACTACACAGAAGCATTCTCAGAAACTTCTTTGTCATGTGTGCATTCAACTCACAGAATTGAACCATTCTTTTGATAGAGCAGTTTTGAGACACTCTTTTTGTACAATCTGGAAGTGGACATTTGGAGGGCTTTGAGGCCTATGGTGAAAAAGAAAATATCTTAACATAAAAACTAGACAGAAGCATTCTCAGAAATTTATTTGTGTTATTTGCTTTCAACTCACACAGTTGAACCTTTCTTTTGATAGAGCAGTTTTGAAACACTCTTTTTGTAGAATTTGCAGGTGGATATTTGGACCTCTTTGATGCCTTCGTTGGAAATGGGATATCGTCACAAAAACTAGACAGGAGCATTCTCAGAAACTATTTTGTGATGTGTGCATTCAACTCACAGTGTTGAAGCTTTCTTTTGATAGAGCAGTTTTGAAACACACTTTTTGTAGAATCTGCAAGTGGACATTTGGAGCGCTTTGAAGCCTGTGGTGAAAAAGGAAATATCTTCACATAAAAACTACACAGAAGCATTCTCAGAAACTTCTTGGTGATGTTTGCTTTCAACACACAGAGTTTAACATAGCTTTTCATGAGCAGTTTTGAAACACTCTTTTTGTGGAATCTGCAAGTGGATATTTGGACTGCTTTGGGGCCTTCTTTGGAAAGGGGATATGTTCACAAAAACTAGACAGAAGCATTCACAGAAACTTCTTTGTGATGGATGCATTCAACTCACAGAGTTGAACCGTTCTTTTGATAGAGCAGTTTAGAAACACTCTTTTTGTAGAAACTGTGAGTGGACATTTGGAGTTCTTTGAGGCCTATGGTGAAAAGGTTAAAAACTAGACAGAAGCACTCTCAGAAACTTCTTTCTGATGTGTGCATTTAACTCCCAGAGTTGGACCTTTCTTTAGATAGAGCAGTTTTGAAACACTCCGTTTGTAGAGTATGCAAGGGGACATTTGGAGTGCTAAGAGGCCTACGGTGAAAAAGGAAATATCTTCACCTAAAAACTACACAGAAGCATTCACAGAAACTTCTTTGTGTTGTTTGCTTTCAATTCACAGAGTTGAACACTCCTTTTCATAGAGCAGTTTTGAAACACTCTTTTTGTAGAATTTGCAAGTGGATATTTGGACCGCTTTGAGGCCTTCATTGGAAAAGGGACATCGTCATAAAAACTAGACAGAAACATTCTCAGAAACTACTTTCTGATGTGTGCATTCAACTCACAGAGTTGAACCTTTCTTTTGATAGAGCAGTTTTGAAACAGTGTTTTTCTAGAATCTGCAAGTGGACATTTGGAGTGCTTTGAGGCCTATGGTGAAAAAGGAAACATCTTCAAATAAAAACTAGACAGAAGGATTATCAGAAACTTCTTTTTGATGTGTGCATTCAACTCACAGAGTTGAACACTTCTTTTGATAAAGCAGTTTTTAAAAAACCTTTTTGTAGAATCTGCAACTGGACATTTGGATGGCTTTGAGGCTTATCGTGAAAAAGGAAATATCTTCACATAAAAATTACACAGAAGCATTCTCAGAAACCTATTCGTGTTGTTTGCTTTCAACTCACTGATTTGAACATTCCATTTCATAGAGCATTTTTGAAACCCGCTTTTTGTAGAATTTGGAAGTGGATATTTGGACTGCTTTGAGGCCTTCCTTGGAAAAGGGATATATTCACAAAAACCAGACAGAAGCATTCTCAGAAACTTCTTTGTCATGTGTGCATTCAACTCACAGAGTTGAACCTTTCTTTTGATAGAGCAGTTTTGAAACACTCTTTTTATAGAATCTGCAAGTGGACATTTGGAGTGCTTTGAGGCCTACGGTGAAACAGGAAATTTCTTCACATAAAAACTAGACAGAAGCATTCTCAGAAACTTCTTTGAGATGTGTGCATTCAACTTACAGAGTTGAAACTTTCTTTTGTCAGAGCAGTTTTGAAACACTCTTTTTGTAGAATCTGCAAGTGGACATTTGGAAAGCTTTGAGGCCTATGGTAGAAAAGGAAATATCTTCACATAAAATCCAGACAGAAGCATTCTCAGAAACTTCTTTGCGATGTTTGTATCCAACTCACAGAATTTAACATATCTTTCCATAGATCAGTTTTGAAACACTCTTTTCTTAGAATGTGCAAGTGGATATTTGGATTGCTTTGAGGCTTTCTTTGGAAACGGGAATATCTACACATAAAAACTAGACAGAAATATTCTCAGAAACTCCCCGTGATGTGTGCATTCAACTCACAGAGTTGAACCTTTCTTTTGATGAGCAGTTTTGATACACACTTTTTGTAGAATCTGCAAGTGGACATTTGGAGAGCTTTGAGGCATATGGTGGAAAAGCAAATATCTTCACATAAAAACTAGACAGAAACATTCTCAGAAACTTCTTTGTGTTGTTTGCATTCAACTCACAGAGTTGAAGATACCTTTTCATAGAGCAGATTTGAAACACTGTTTTCATAGAATCTGCCAGTGGATATTTGGACTGCTTTGAGGCCTTCGTTGTAAACGGGAATATGTTCACATAAAAACTAGACAGAAGAATTCTCAGAAACTTCTTTCTGATGCCTGCATTCAATTCACAGAGTTGAACCTTTCTTTTGATGGAGCAGTATTGAAACACTCATTTTGCAGAATCTGCAAGTGGTCATTTGGAGACCTTTGAGGTCCGTGGTGGAAGTAAATATCTTCACATAAAAATTAGACAGAAGCATTCTCAGGAACTTCTTTCTGATGCTTTCATTCAACTCACAGAGTTCAACATACCTTTTCATTGAGCAGTTTTGAAACACTCTTTTCGTAGAATCTGCAAGTGGACATTTGGACTGCTTTGAGGCCATCGTTGGAAACGGGAATATCTTCACATAAAAACTAGACAGAAGCATTCTCAGAAACCACTTTGTGATGGGTGCATTCAACTCACAGAGTTGAATCTTTCTTTTGATTGAGCGGTTTTGAAACACTCATTTTGTAGGATCTGCAAGTGGACATTTGCAGAGCTTTGAGGCCTATGTTGGAAAGGAAATATCTTCACATAATAACCAGACAGAAGCATTCTCAGAAACTTCTTTTTGATGTGTTCCTTCAACTAACAGAGTTGAACATACCTTTTCATAGAGCAGTTTCGAAACACTCTTATCCTTGTATCTGCAAGTGCATATTTGAACTGCTTTGAGGCCTTCGTTGGAAACGGGAATATCTTCATATAAAAACTAGACAGAAGCATTCTCAGAAACTTCTTTGTGATGTGTGCATTCAACTCACAGATTTGAACCTTTCTTTTGATACAGCTGTTTTGAAACACTCTTTTTGTAGAATGCACAAGTGGACATTTGGAGAGCTTTGAGGCCTACAGTGGAAAAAGAAATATTTTAACGTAAAAACCAGACAGAAGCATTCTCAGAAATGTCTTTGTGATGTTTGCATTCAACTCACAGAGTTGAACATACTTTTTCATAGAACAGTTTTGAGACACTCTTTTCGTAGAATCTGCAAGTGGACATTTGGACTGCTTTGAGGCCTTCGTTGGAAATGGGAATATCTTCACATAAAAACTAGACAGAAGTATTCTGAGAAACTACTTTGTGATGTGTGCATTCAACTCACAGAGTTGAACCTTTCTTTTTATAGAGCAGCTTTGAAACACTCTTTCTGTAGAATCTGCAAGTGGACATTTGAGGGCTTTATGGCCCATGGTGGAAAAAGATATATCTTCACATACAAACTAGACAGAAGCATTCTCCTATACTTCTTTGTGATGTTTGCATTCAACTAACTGTGTTGAACATACTTTTTCAAAGAACAGTTTTCAAACACCTTTCGTGGAATCTGCACGTGGATATTTGGACTGCTTTGAGGCCTTCGTTGGAAACGGGAATATCTTCACATAAAAACCAGACAGAAGCATTCTCAGAATCTTCTCTTTGATGTTTGCATTCAACTCACAGAGTTGAACCTTTCTTTTGATACAGCTGTTTTGAAACATTCTTTTTGTAGAATGTGCATGTGGACATTTGGAGAGCTTTGAGGCCTACGGTGGAAAAGGAAATATTTTAACTTAAAAACCAGACAGAAGAATTCTCAGAAATTGCTTTCTGGTGTTTGCATTTAACTCACAGAGTTGAACATACTTTTTCATAGAACAGTTTTGAGACACTCTTTTCGTAGAATCTGCAAGTGGACATTTGGACTTCTTTGAAGCCTTCGTTGGAAATGGGAATATCCTCCCATAAAAACTAGACAGAATAATTCTGAGAAACAGCTTTGTGATGCGTGCATTCGACTCACAGAGTTGAACCTTTCTTTTAATAGAGCAGTTTTGAAACACTCTTTTTGTAGAATCTGCAAGTGGACTCTTGAGATTACATAATGCTAGATGATGAGTTAGTGGGTGCAGCGCACCAGCATGGCACATGTATACATATGTAACTAACCTGCACAATGTGCACATGTACCCTAAAACTTAAAGTATAATAAAAAAAAAAAGAAAGG
>NC_000020.11:29884850-29917304 GCF_000001405.40 Homo sapiens
AGAAGTTTCCCAGAATACTTCTGTCTAGTTTTTATATGAAGGTATTGCCTTTTAAGCCATAGGCTGCAAATCATGCCAAATATCCACTTGCAGATTCTACAAAAAGAGTGTTTCTTAACTGCTCAATTAAAACAAAGGTTCAACTTTGTGCGATGAATGCGTACATTACAAGGAAGTTTCACAGAATGCTTCTGCCTAGTTTTTATGTAAAGATATTTCCTTTTCCACCATAGTCCTCAAAACCCTTCAAATATCCATTTACAGATTCTCCAAAAGAAGGTTTCCAAACTGCTCAATCAAAAGATAGGTTAAACACTGTGGGATGAATGCACACATCACAAAGATGTTTCTCAGAATGCTTCTATCTACTTTTTATGTGAAGATATTTTCTTTTACACCATAGGCTGCAAATCGCTCCAAATATCCAATACCAGACTCTAGAAAAGTAGTGTTGCAAACTGCTCAATCAAAAGAAAGTTTCACCTTTGTGTAATGAATGCACACATCACAAAGAAGTTTCTCAGAATGCTTCTGTCTGGTTTTTATGGGAAGATATTTCCTTTTCCACCATAGGCCACAAAGCGCTCCAAATATCCTCTTGCAGGTTCTACAAAGAGAGTGTTTCAAAACTGCTCCATCAAAAGAAATGTACAACTCTGTGAGATGAACGCACACATCACAAAGAAGTTTCTCAGAATGATCTGTCTAGTTTTTATGTGAAGATATTTCCTTTTCCACCAAGGGCCTCAAAGTGCTGCAAATATGCACTTGCAGATTATACAAAAAGAGTTTTTCAAAAATGCTCAATCAAAAGAAAGGTTCAACTCTGTGTGATGAATGCACCCATCACAAAGAAGTTTCTCAGAATGCTTCTGATTAGTTTTTATATGAAGATATTTCCTTCTACTCTATAGGACTCAAAGCACTCCTAATATCCATTTTCAGATACTACCAAAAGACTGTCTCCACACTGCTCAATCAAAAGAATAGTTCAACTCTGTCATTTGAATGCACACATCACAAGGAAATTTCTCAGAATGCTTCTTTCTAGTTTTTATGTGAAGATATTTCCTTTTCCACCATAGGCCTCAAAGCCCTCCAAGTATCCACTTGCAAATTCTACAAAAAAAGAGTTTCAATACTTCTCAATCAAAAGAAAAGTTCAACTCTGTGGGATGAATGCCCACATCAGAAAACAGCTTCTCAGAATGCCTCTGTCTAGTTTTTATATGAAGATATTTCCTTTTCCACCATAGGCCACAAAGCGCTCCAAATATCCACTTTCAGATACCACAAAAAGAGTGTTTCCAAACTGCTCAATCAAAAGAAAAGTTCAACTCTGTGTGATGAACACACACCTCACAAAGAAGATTCTCAAAATTCTTCTGTGTAGTTTTTATGTGAAGATATTTCCTTTTTCACCATAGGCCCCAAAGTGCTCCAAATATCCAAAGCAGATTCGACAAAAAGAGTGTTTCAAAACTGCTCATTCAAAAGAAAGGTTCAACTCTGTGAGATGAATGCACGCATCACAAAGAAGTTTCCCAGAATGCTTCTGTCTAGTTTTTATTTTAAGATATTTCCTTTTCCACCATACGCCTCAAAGTGCTCCAATTACCTATTGCAGGTTCTACAAAAAGAGTATTTCTAAACTGCTCAATCAAAAGAAAGGTTCCACTCTGTGAGATGAATGTACACCTCACAAAGAAGTTTCTAAGAATGCTTCTATCTAGTTTTTATATGAAGATATTTCCTTTTCCAACATAGGCCCCAAAGCGTCCCAATTATCCACTTGCAGATTCTACAAAAAGATTGTTTCAAAACTGCTGAATTGAAAGAAAGCTTCAACTCTGTAAGATGAATGGACATATCACAAAGAAGTTCCTCAGATGCTTCTGTCTAGCTTTTATGTGAAGAATCTTCCTTTTCCACCATAGGGTGCAAAGCGCTCCAAATACCCACATGCAGATTCTGCAAAAAGAGTGTTTCACAACTGCTCACTGAAAAGAAATGTTCAACTCTGTGAAATGAATGCACATATCAGAAAGGTGTTTCTCACAATGCTACTGTCTAGTTTTTCTGTGAAGATATTTCCTATTCCACCATAGGTCTCAAATCTCTCCAAATCTCCATTTGCAGATTCTACAAAAAGAGTGTTTGAAAAATGCGAAATCAAAAGAGGCTCAAGCCTGTGAGTTGAAAGCATGCACCACAAAGACGTTTCTCAGAACGCTTCTGTCTAGTTTTTATGTGAAGGTATTTCCTTTTCCACCACATGCAATGTAGCACTCCAAATATCCACTTGCAGATTCTACAAAAAGAGTGTTTCCAAAATGCTCAATGAAAAGAAATGTTCAACTGTGTGAGTTGACTGCACACATCACAAATAAGTTTCTCAGAATGCTTCTGCCTACTTTTTATATGAAGATTTTTCCTTTTCCACCCTAAGCTGAAAAGCATTCCAAATATCCACTTGCAGATTCCACAAAATGAGTGTTTCAAAAATGCTCCATCAAAAGAAAGTTTCAACTCTGTGAGTTGAATGCACACATTACAAATAATTTTCTCTCAGAATGCTTCTGTCTAGTTTTTATATGAAGATATTTCCTTTTCCACCGTAGGCTGCAAAGCACTCTAAATATACACTTGCAGATTTTACAAAAGGTGTGTTTCAAAACTGCTCAATCAAAAGAACTTTTCAGTTCTGTGAGGTGAATGCACACATCACAAGGAAGTTTCTCAGAATGCGTCTGTCTAGTTTTTATGTGAAGATATTTCCTTTTCCACCATAGACCCCAAAGCGAACCAAATATCCACATGCAGATTGTACAAAAAGAGTGTTTAAAAACTGCTCAATCAGAAGAAAAGTTCAACTCTGTGAGTTGAATGCACACATCACAAAGAAGATTCTCAGAATGCTTCTGTCTAGTTTTTATGTGAAGATATTTTCTTTTCCACCATAGGCCCCAAAGCGCTCCAAATATCCAAAGCAGATTCTACAAAAAGAGTGTTTCAAAACTGCTCAATCAAAAGAAAGGTTCAATTCTGTGAGATGAATGCACACATCACAAAGAAGTTTCTCAGAATTCTTCTGTCTAGTTTTTATGTGAAGATATTTCCTTTTCCACCATACACCTCAAAATGCTTCAAATATTGCAGATTTTACAAAAAGAGTTTTTCTAAACTGCTCAATCAAAACAAAGGTTCAACTCTGTGAAATGAACACACATATCCCTAAGAAGTTTCGCAGAATGCTACTGTCTAGTTTTTGTGTAAAGATATTTCCTATTCCACCATAGGCCTCAAGTCACTCCAAATCTCCACTTGCAGATTCTACAAAAAGAGTGTTTGAAAACTGCTAAATCAAAAGAGGCTCAAGCCTGTGAGTTGAAAGCATGCATCACAAGGAACTTTCTCAGAATGTTTCTGTCTAGTTTTTATGTTAAGATATTTCCTTTTCCACCATAGGCCACGTAGCGCTCCAAATATCCACTTGCAGATTATACAAAAAGAGTGTCTCAAAGCTGCTCTATCAAAAGAAAGGTTCAACTTTGTTAGTTGAATACACACATCACAAAGAAGTTTCTCAAAATGCTTCTGTCTAGTTTTTATGTGAAAATATTTCCTTTTCCACCATAGGCCTTAAGCACTCCAAATATCCACTTGCAGATTGTACAAAAAGAGTGTCTCAAAACTGTTCATTTAAAAGAAATGTTCACCTCTGTGAGATGAATGCACACATCACAAAGAAGTTTCTCAGAATGCTTCTGTATAGTTTTTATGTGAAGATATTTCCTTTTCCACTGGTGGACGCAAAGCTCTCCAAATACCCACTTGCAGATTCTACAAAAAGACTGTATCGAAACTTTTCAACCAAAAGGAAGGTTCAACTCTGTGTGTCAGGCAGACACCACAAAGAAGTTTCTCAGAATGCTTCTGTCTAGATTTATGTGAAGATACTTCCTTTTCCACCATAGGGCTCAAAGCACACCAAATATCCACTTGCAGATTCTACAAAAATAGTGTTTCAAAACTGCTCAATCAAAAGAAAGGTTCAACTCTGTAAGATGAATTCACACATAACAATGTAGTTCCTAAGAATGCTTCTGTCTACTTTTTACATGAAAATATTTCGTTATCCACCATAGGCCTCAAAACGCTCCAAATGTCAACTTGCAGATTCTACAAAAAGCGTGTTTCAAAGCTTCTCAATCAAAAGAAAGTTTTAACTCTGTGAGATGATTGCACATGTCACAAAGAAGTTTGTCAGAATGCTTCTGTTTAGTTTTTATGTGAAGATATTTCCTTTTCCACCATAAGCCTCAAAGCGCTCCAAATGTCCACTTGTAGATTCTACAAAAAGAGTGTTTTAAAACTGCTCAATCAAAAGAAATGTTCAACACGGTAAGATGAAGGCACATATCACAAAGAAGTTTGTCAGAATGTTTCTGTCCAGTTTTGAAACACCCTTTTTATAGAATCTGCAAGTGGACATTTGGAGCGCTATGAGGCCTATCGCGGAAAAGGAAATGTCTTCACATGAAAACTAGACAGAAGCATTCTGACAAACTTCTTTGTGATGTCTGCATTCATCTCACAGAGTTGAACCTCACTTTTCATTGAGCAGTTTTGGAACACTCTTTTTGTTGAATCTGCAAGTGGACATTTGGAGCGCTATGAGGCCTATCGCAGAAAAGAAAATGTCTTCACATGAAAACTAGACAGAATCATTCTGAGAAAATACTTTGTGATGTGTGCATTCATCTCACAGAGTTGAACCTCACTTTTCATTCAGCAGTTTTGAAACACTCTTTTTGTAGAATCTGCAATAGGACATTTGGAGCGCTATGAGGCCTATCGCGGAAAAGGAAATGTCTTCACATGAAAACTAGACAGAAGCATTCTGACAAACTTCTTTGTGATGTGTGCATTCATCTCACAGAGTTGAACCTTTCTTTTGATTGAGCAGCTTTGAAATACTCTTTTTGTAGAATCTGCAAGTGGACATTTGGAGTGCTTTGAGGCCTACGGTGGAAAAGGAAATATCTTCACATAAAAACTAGACAGAAGGATTCTAACAAACTTCTTTGTGATGTGTGCATTCATCTCACAGAGTTGAACCTTTTTTTGTTTGAGCACCTATGAAATACTCTTTTTGTACAGTCTGCAATTGGACATTTGGAGTGCATTGAGGCCTATGGTGGAAAAGGAAATATCTTCCCATAATAACTAGACAGAAGCATTCTGACAAACTTCTTTATGATGTGTGCATTTATCTCACAGAGTTGAACCTTACTTTTCATTGGGCAGTTTTGAAACACTCCTTTTCTAGTATAGGCAAGTGGACTCTTGGAGCGCTTTGAGGCCTATTGTGGAAAGGAAATACCTTCACATAAAAACTAGACAGAAGCATTCTGACAAACTTCTTTGTGATGTGTGCCTTCATCTCACAGGGTTGAAGCTTCCTTTTGATTGAGCAGCTTTTAAACCCTCTTTTTGTAGAATCTGCAAGTGGACATTTGGAGCGCGTTGAGAACTATGGTGGAAAAGGAAATATCTTCACATAAAAACTAGAAAGAAGCATTCTGACAAACTTCTTTGTGATGTGTGCATTCATCTCACAGTGTTGAAACTTGCTTTCGATTGAGCAGTTTTGAAACACTCTTTTTGAAGTATCTGCAAGTGGACATTTGGAGCGTTTTGAGGCCCATGGTGGGAAATTAAATATCTTCACATAAAAACCAGACAGATGCATTCTGACAATTTTCTTTGTGATATGTGCATTGATCTCACAGAGTTGAACCTTACTTTTCATTGAGCAGTTTTGAAACACTCTTTTTGTAGAATCTGCAATTGGATATTTAGAGCACTTTGAGGTTTATGATGGAAAAGGAAATATCTTCGCATAAAAACGAGACAGAAGCATTCTGACAAACTTCTTTTGATGTGTGCATTCATCTCACAGAGATGAAACTTTCTTTTGATTGAGCAGCTTTGAAACTTTCTTTTTGTAGAAGCTGCAAGTGGACAATTTGAGCGCTTTGAGGCTTATGGTGGAAATGGAAATATCCTCACATAAAAACTAGACATAAGCATTCAGAAAAACTTTTTTGTGATGTGTGCATTCATCTCAAAGTGCTGAACCTTACTTTCGATGGAGAAGTTTTGAAACACTCTTTTTGTAGAATTTGCAAGTGGACATTGGAGAGCTTTGAGGCCTATGGGTGGACAACAAAATATCTTCATACAATAACTAGACAGAAGCATTATGAGAAACTTCTTTGTGATGTGTGCATTCATCTCACACAGAGTTGAACCTTTCTTTGGAATGAGCAGCTTTGAAACACTCTTTTTGTAGAATCTGCAAGTGGACATGTGGAGCACTTTGAGGCCCATCGTGGAAAAGGAAATATCTTCATATAAAAACTAGACAGAAGCTTTCTGACAAACTTCTTTGTGATGTGTGCATTCAGCTCACAAAGTTGAACATTTCTTTTCATGGAACAGCTTGGAAACATTCTTTTTGTTGAATCTGCAAGTGGACATTTGGAGCGATTTGTGGCCTATTGTGGAAAAGGACATATCATCAAATAAAAACCAGAAATACACATTCTGACAAACTTCTTTGTGATGTGTGCATTCATCTCACAGAGTTGAATCTTTCTTTTCATTGAGCAGCTTTGAAACACTCTTTTTGTAGAATCTGCAAGTGGACATTTGCAGCGCTTTGGGGCCAAAAGTGGAAAAGGAAGTATCTTCACTTAAAAACTAGACAGAAGCCTTCTGACAAACTTCTTTGTGATGTGGGCATTCACCTCACAGATTTGAACCTTGCTTTTCATTAAGCAGCTTTGAAACACTCTTTTTGTAGAATCTGCAAGTGGACATTTGGAGCACTTTGCGGCCAATGCTGGAAAGCGAAATATCTTCACAAAAAACTAGACAGAAGCACTGACAAACTTCTTTGTTATGTGTGCATTCATCTCACAGAGTTGAACCTTTCTTTTGATTGAGCAGCTTTGAAACACTCTTTTTGTAGAATCTGTAAGTGCACATTCGGAGCGCTTTGAGGTCTATGGTTGAAAAGGAAACATCTTCACATAAAAACTAGACAGCAGCATTCTGACAACAAACATTGTGATGTGTGCATTCATCTCACAGAGTAGAAACTTACTTTCATTAAGCAGTTTTGAAACACTCTTTTTCTAGAATCTGCAAGTGGACTTTTGGAGCCCTTTGAGGCCTATATTGGAAAAGGAAATATCTTCACATAAACACTAGACAGAAGCATTCTGACAAACTTCTTTGTGATGTGTGCATTCTTCTCACAGAGTTGAACTTTCTTCTGACTGAGCAGCTTTGAAACACTCTTTTTGTAGAATCTGTAAATGGACATTTGCAGTGCTTTGAGGTCTGTGGTGGAAAAGGAAATATCTTCACATAAAAACTATACAGAAGCATTCTGACAAACTACTTTGTGATGTGTGCATTCATCTAACACAGTTGAACTTTCTTCTGACTGAGCAGCTTTGAAACACTCTTTTTGTAGAATCTGCAAGTGGACATTTTGAGCACTTGAGTCCAATCCTGGAAAAAGAAATATCTTCATATAAAAAGTAGGCAGAATCATTCTGACAATCTTCTCTGTGATGTCTGCATTCATCTCACAAAATAGAAACTTTCTTTTTATTGAGCAGCTTTCAAACACTATTTATGTACAATCCGTAAGTGGACATTTGGAGCCCTTTGAGGCCCATGATGGAAAAGGAAATACCTTCACATAAAAACTAGGCAGACGTATTCTGACCAACTTCTTTGTGATGTGTGCATTCTTCTCACAGAGTTGAACCTTACTTTTGATTGAGCAGTTTTGAAACACTCTTTTTGTAGAATCTGCAAGTGGATATTTTGAGTGCTTTGAGGCCAATGGTGGAAAAGGAAACATCTTCACATAAAACCTACACAGAAGCATTCTGACAAACTACTTTTTGATGTGTGCATTCATCTCACAGAGCTAAACATTTCGTTTGATTGAGCAGCTTTGAAACACTCTTTTTGTAGAATCTGCAAGGGGACATTTGGAGCGCTTTGAGGCCAATGTTTTAAGAGAAAATATCTACACATAAAAGCTAGACAGAAGCTTTCTGAAAAACTTCTTTTTGATGGGTGCATTCATCTCAGAGTTGAACCTCTCTTTTGATTGAGGAGCTTTGAAACACTCTTTTTGTACAATCTGCAAGGACCATTTGGAGCGCTTTGACGGCTATGGTGGAAAAGGACTATCTTCACTTAAAAACTAGACAGAAGCATTATGACAAACTTCTTTTTGATATGTGCATTCATATCACAGAGTTGAACTTTCTTTTCATTGAGCAGTTTTCAAACACTCCTTGTGTAGAATCTGCAAGTGGACATTTGGAGCCCTTTGGGGCCTATGGTGGAAAAGGAAATATTTTCACATAAAAACTAGACAGAAGCATTCTGAGAAACTTCTTTTTGATGTGTGCATTCATGTCACAGAGTTGAGCATTACTTTTGATTGAGCAGTTTGGAAAATTTCTCTTTGTAGGATCTGCAAGTGGACATTTAGAGTACTTTGAGCCCTATGATAGAGAAGGAAATATGTTCACACAACTAGACAGAAGCATTCTGACAACCTTCCTTGTGATATGTGTGTTCATCTCACAGACTTGAACGTTACTTTTCATTGGGCAGTTTTGAAATCCCCGTTTTATGGAATCTGCAAGTAGACATTTAGAGCACTTTGAGATCTGTTGTGGAAAAGGAAATATCCTCACATAAAAACTAGACAGAAGCATTCTGACAAACTAATTTGTGATGTGTGCATTCATCTCACAGAGTTGAACCTTGCTTTTCATTGAGCAGTTTTGAAACACTCTTTTTGTAGAATCTGCAAGGGGACATTTGTTGTGCATCGAGGCCTATGCTGGAAAAGGAAATATTTTCATGTAAAAACAAGACAGAAGCATTCTCACAAACATCTTTTTGATTTGTGCATTCATATCACACAGTTGAACATTTCTTTGGATTGAGCAGTTTGGGAACACTCTTTTTGTAGAATCTGCAAGTGGACATTTGGAGCGTTTTAAGCCCTATGTCAGAAAAGGAAATATCTTCACATAGCTAGACAGAAGCATCTGACAACCTTCTTTGTGATGTGTGCGTTCATCTAACAGAGATGAAACTTATTTTTCATTGAGAAGTTTTGAAACACACATTTTGTAGAATCTGCAAGTGGACATTGGGAGCATTTTGAGACCAATTGTGGAAAAGGAAAATCTTCATATAAAAACTAGACAGAAGCATTCTGTTAAACTTCTTTGTGATGTGTGGATTCGTCTCACAGAGTGGAAGCTTACTTTTCACTGAGCAGTTTTGGAACACTCTTTTTGTGGAATCTGCATAGGGACATTTAGTGCTCTTTGAGGCCTATGGTGGAAAAGGAAATACCTTCACATAAACACTGGACAGAAGCATTCTGACAAACTTCTTGGTGATGGGTGCATTCAGCTCACAGGTTGAAACTTTCTTTTGATTGAGCAGCTTTTTTTTTTTTTTTAGAATCGGCAAGTGGATATTTGGAGTGGTTTGGGGTCTATGGTGGAAAAGGAAATATCTTCACATAAAAACTGGACAGAAGCATTCTCACAAACTGGCTTGTGACGTGTGCATTCATCTCACAGAGTTGAAACTTTCTTTTGATTGAGCAGATTTGAAACACTCTTTTTGTAGAGTCTGCAAGTGGACATTTGGAGCACTTTGAGGCCTACAGTGGAAAAGGAAATATCTTCACATAAAAATTAGACAGAAGTATTCTGAGAAACTTATTTGTGATGTGTGCATTCATCTCACAGAGTTGAACCTTACTTTTCATTGAACAGTTTTGAAACACTCTTTTTGTAGAATCTGCAAGTAGACATTTGGAGAGCTTTGAGGCCTATGGGTGGACAACGAAATATCTTCATATAATAACTAGACAGAAGCATTATGAGAAACTTCTTTGTAATGTGTGCATTCATCTCACACAGAGTTGAACATTTCTTTTGATTTAGCAGCTTTAAAATACTCTTTTTGTAGAATCTGCCATTGGACATTTGCGGCGCTTGAGGCCAATGGTGGAAAAGGAGATATCTTCACATAGAAAGTAGATAGAGCCATTCTTACAAACTTCTTTGTGATGTGTGCATTCATCTCACAGTATTGAACCTTTCTTTTGATTGAGCAGCTTTAAAACACTCTTTTTGTAGAATCTGCAGGTGGACATTTGGAGCGCCTTGTGGACTACTGTGGAATAAGGAATATCTTCACATAAAAACTAGACAGGAGCATTCTGACGAACTTCTTAGTGATGTGTGCATTGATCTTGCAGCATTGAACCTCCCTTTTGACGGAGCAGTTTTGAAACTGTCTTTTGTAGAATCTGCATGTGGAGATTTTGAGAGTTTTAGGCCTATGTTGCAAAAGGAAATATCTTCATATAAAAACTAGACAGAAGCATTCTGACAACCTTCTTTCTGACATGTGCATTCATCTCACAGAGTTGAACTTTCCTTTTTATGGACCAGTTTTGAAATACTCTTTTTGTAGAATGTGTAAGTGGACATTTGGAGAGTCTTGAGGCCTATGGTGGAAAATGAAATATCTTCACATAAAACTAGACAGAAGAATTCTGAGAAACTTCTTTGTGATGTGTGCGTTCATCTCATAGAGTTGAACCTTTCTTTTGATTGAGCAGTTTAGAAACACAATTTTTGTAGATTCTGCAAGTGGACATTTGGAGTGCTTTGCGGCCTGTGGTAGAAAAGGAAATATCCTCACATAAAACCTAGACAGAAGCAATGTGAGACACTTCTTTGTGATTTGTGCATTCATCTCACAGAATTAAACATTTCTTTTGATTGAGCAGTTTTGAAACACTCCTTTTGTAGAATCTGCAAGTGGACATTTGGAGGGCTTTGAGGCCTATGGTAGAAAAGGAAATATCTTCACATAAAATCTAGACAGAAGCAATCTGAGAAACTTCTTTGTGATGTATGCATTCATCTCACAGAGTTAAACCTTTCTTTGATTGAGCAGTTTTGAAACTTTTTATAGAATCTGCAAGAGGACATTTGGAGCGCTTTGAGGCCTGTAGTGAAAAAGGAAATATCTTCACAAAAAACTAGACAGAGGAATTCTGAGAAACTTCTTCATGATGTGTGAGTTCATCTGACAGAGTTGAACCTTTCTTTTGATTGAGCAGTTTGGAAACACAATTTTTGTAGATTCTGCAAGTGGACATTTGGAGCACTTTGCAGCCTGTGGTAGAAAAGGAAATATCTTCACATAAAACCTAGACAGAAGCAATGTGAGAAACTTCTTTGTGATGTGTGCATTCATCTCACAGAGGTAACCCTTTCTTTCAATAGAGCAGTTTTGAAATGCTCTTTTTGTAGAATCTGCAAGTGGACATTTGGAGCGCATTTAGTCCTGTGGTGGAAAAGAAACTATCTTCACATAAGTACTAGACAGAAGAATTCTGAGAAACTTCTTTGTGATGTGTGCATTCATCTCACAGAGCTGAAACTTTCTTTTGATTGAGCAGTTTGGAAACACTCTTTTTGTGGTATCTGCAAGTGGTCTTTGGAGTGCTTTGCGGCCTATGATAGAAAAGGAAATAACTTCACATAAAATCTAGACAGAAGCAATCTGAGAAACTTCTTTGTGATGTGTGCATTCATACCACAGAGTTAAAACTTTCTTTTGATTGAGGAGTTTTGAAACTCCCTTTTTGTAGAATCTGCTAGTGGACATTTGGAGGGCTTTGAGGCCTATTGTGGAAAAGGAAATATCTTCACATAAAAGCTAGACAGAAGAATTCTGAGAAACTTCTTTGTAATGTGTACGTTCTTCTCACAGAGTTGAATCTTTCTTTTGATTGAGCAGTTTGGAAACTCTCTTTTTGTAGAATCTGCAAGTGGACATTTGGAGCTCTTTGAGGTCTATGGTGGAAAAGGAAATATCTTCACTTAAAAACTAGATAGAAGCATTCTGAGAAACTGCTTTGTGATGCGCGCATTCATCTCCCAGAGTTGAACGTTTCTTTTTATGGACCAGTTTTGAAATACTCTTTTTGTATAATCTGCAAATGGACATTTCGAGCGCTTTGCGTCCTATGGTGAAAAAGGAAATATCTTCACTTAAAATCTAGACAGAAGCAATCTGAGAAACTTCTTTTTGATGTGTGCGTTCATCTCACAGAGTTAAAGCTTTCTTTTGATTGAACAGTTTTGAAAATCTCTTTTTGTAGTATCTGTAAGTGGACATTTGGAGTGCTTTGAGGCCAATGGTAGAAAAGGAAATAACTTCACATAAAAACTAGACAGAAGAATTCTGAGAAACTTCTTTGTGATGTGTCCATTCATCTCACAGAGTTGAACCTTTCTTTTGTTTGAGCAGTATGGAAACACCCTTTTGATGGAATCTGCAGGTTGACATTTGGCGTCCTTTGAGGCCTATGGTTGAAAAGGAAATATCCTCACATAAAATCCAGACAGAAGCAATCTGGGAACCTTCTTTGTGATGTGTGCATTCATCTCCCAGAGTTAAAACTTTCTTTTGATTGAGCAGTTTTGAAACTGTCTTTTTGTTAAATCTTCAAGTGAACATTTGGAGCGCATTTATTCCTGTGGTGGAAAAGAAAATATATTCACATAAAAACTAGACAGAAGAATTCTGGGAAACTTCTTTGAGAAGTGTGCATTCATCTCACAGAGTTGAAGCTTTCTTTTGATTGAGCAGTTTGGAAACACTCTTTTTGTAGGATCTGCAAGTGGGCATTTGGAGTGCTTTGCGGCCTACGATAGAAAAGGAAATATCTTCGCATAAAATCTGGAGAGAAGCAATCTGAAAAACTTCTTTGTGATGTGTGCCTTCATCCCACAGAATTAAACCTTTCTTTTGATTGAGTAGTTTTGAAACTCACTTTTTGTGGAATCTGCTAGTGGACGTTTGGAAAGCTTTGAGGCCTATGGTGGAAAAGGAAATATCTTCACATAAAAAGTAGACAGAAGAATTCTGAGAAACTTCTTTGTTATATGGGCATTCATTTCACAGAGTTGAACCTTTCTTTTGATTGAGCAGTTTGGAAACACTCTGTTTGTAGAATCTGCAAGTGGACATTTGGAGCGCTTTGTGGTCTATGGTAGAAAAGGTAATATCTTTACATAAAATCTAGAGAAAAGCAAACTGAGAAACTACTTTCTGATGTGTGCATTCATCTCACAGTGTTAAACCTTTCTTTTGATTGAGGAGTTTTATAGCTCTCTTTTTGTAGAATCTGCAAGTGGACATTTGGAGCGCTTTGGGGCCTATCGTGGAGAAGGAAATATCTTCACATAAAAACTAGACAGAAGGATTTTGAGAACCTTCTTTGTGATGCGTGGGTTCATCTCACAGAGGTCTATGGTAGAAAAGGAAATATCTTCACTTAAAATCTAGACATAAGCAATTGAGAAACTTCTTTTTGATGTGTGCACTCATCTCACAGAGTTAAACCTTTCTTTTGATTGAGCAGTTTTTAAACTCTCTTTTTGTAGAATGTGCAAGTGGACATTTGAGGTGCTTTGTGGCCTATGGTAGAAAAGAAAATATCTTCACATAATATCTAGACAGAAGCAATCTGAGAAACTTCTTTGTAATCTGTGCATTCTTCTCACAGAGTTAAGCCTTTCTTTTGATTGAGGAGTTTTGTAACTCTCTTTTTGTAGAATGTGCAAGTGGACATTTGTGCCACTTTGAGGCCTATGGTGGAAAAGGAAATATCTCCACATAAAAACTAGAAAGAAGAATTCTGAGAAACTTCTATCCAATGTGTGCATTCATCTCACAGAGTTGAACTTTTCTTTTGATAGAGCAGTTTTGAAACACTCATTTTGTAGAATCTGCAAGTGGGTATTTGGAGCCCTCTGAGGCCTATTGTGGAAAAGGAAATATCTTCACATAAAAACTAGAGAGAAGCATTTTTAGAAACTACTTTGTGATGTGTCCATTCATCTCATGGAGTTGAAACTTTCTTTTGATTGAGCAGTTTGGTAACAGTATTTTTGTAGCATCTGCAAAGGTATATTTGTGATCCCTTTATGGTCTATGGTTAAATAGGAAATATCTTCACATAAAAACTAGAGAGAAGCATTCTTAGAAACTACTTTGTGATGCGTCCATTCATCTCGTGGAGTTGAAATTTTCTTTTGATTGAGCAGTTTGGTAACAGTATTTTTGTAGCATCTGCAAATGTATAATTGTGATCCCTTTATGGCCTATGTTTAAATAGGAAATATCTTCACATAAAAACTAAACAGTAGCTTTCTGAGAAGCTTCTCTGTGATATGTGATTTCATCTCACAGAGTTGAACATTTCCTTCAATTGAGCAGATTGGAAACAGTCTTTTTGTACAACCTGCAAATGGATATTTGGTGCTCTTTGAGGCCTATGGTGAAAAAGGAAATATCTTCACATAAAAATTAGATGGAAGCATTCTGAAAAACTTCTTTGTGAAGTTTGCATTCATCTCACACAGTTGAACATTTCTTTGATTGGAGATTTGGAAACAGTCTTTATGTAAAGTCTACAAAGGTATAATTGTGAACCCTTTTAGGCCTATGGTGAAGTAGGAAATATCTTCATATAAAAACTACACAGAAACATTCTGAGAAAGTTTCTTGTGATGGGTGCATTCATCTCACAGAGTTGAAGCTTTCTTTTGCTAGAGCAGTTTGGAAACACTCCTTTGTAGAATCCCCAAAGGGATAATTCTGAGTCCATTGAGGCCTTTAGTGATGTAGGAAATATCTTCACATAAAAGCTAGACAGAAGCTTTCTGAGAAACTTCTTTTAAATGAGTGCTTTCATCTCAAAGAGTTGAGCATTTATTTTGACTGAGCAGTTTGGAAACACTCTTTTTGCAGAATCTGCAAATGGATAATTGGAGCGCATTGAGGCCTATGGTGAAAAAGCAAATATCTTCACATAAAAACTAAACAGAAGCTTTCTGAGGAACTACTTTGTAATGCGTGCATTCATCTCACAGAGTTTAACCTTTCTTTTGATTGAGCAGTTTTGATACTCTCTTTTTGTGGAAACTGCAAGTGGACATTTGGAGTGCTTTGACTTCTATGGTGGAAAAGGAAATATCTTCACATTAAAACGAGAGAGAAGCATTCTGAGAAACTTCTTTTTGATGTGTGCATTCACCTCACAGAGTTATATCTTTCTTTTGGTTGAGCAGTTTTGAAACTCTGTTTTTGTAGAGTCTGCAAGTGGACATTTTGAGCGCTTTGAGGCCTATGTTGGAAAAGGAAATATCTTCACATAAAAACTAGACAGAAAGATTCTGAGAAATTTCTTTGTGATGTGTGCATTCATCTCACAGAGTTGAACCTTTCTTTTGATTGAGCAGTTTGCAAACACTCTTTTTGTAGAATCTGCAAGTGGATATTCGGAGCACTTTGTGGACTATGGTAGAAAAGGGAATATCTTCACATAAAATCTAGACAAAAGAAATCTGAGAAACTTCTTTGTGATGTGTGCATTCATCTCACAGAGTTAAACCTTTCTTTTGATTGAGCAGTATTGAAACCCACTTTTTGTAGAATGTGCAAGTGGACAATTGGAGCACTTTGATATCTATGGTTGCAAAGGGAATATCTTCACATAAAAACGAGATAGAAGTATTCTGAGAAACTACAATTTGATGTGTGCATTCATCTCCCAGAGTTGAACATTTCTTTTGAAGGACCAGTTTTGACATATGCTTTCTGTAGAATGTGCCATTGAACATTTAGAGCACCTTGAGGCCTATGGTGGAAAAGGAAATATCTTCACATAAAAACTAGACAGAATATTTCTTTTTTTATTTTTTTATTATTTTTTTATTTTTTTATTATTATACTTTAAGTTTTAGGGTACATGTGCACAATGGGCAGGTTATTTACATATGTATACATGTGCCATGCTGGTGCGCTGCACCCACTAACTCATCATCTAGCATTAGTTATATCTCCCAATGCTATCCCTCCCCCCTCATCCCACAACAGGCCCCAGTGTGTGATGTTCCCCTTCCTGTGTCCATGTGTTCTCATTGTTCAATTCCCACCTATGAGTGAGAATACGTGGTGTTTAGTTTTTTGATCTTGCGATAGTTTACTGAGAATGATGATTTTCAATTTCATCCATGTCCCTACAAAGGACATGAACTCATCATTTTTTATGGCTGCTTAATATTCCATGGTGTATATGTACCACATGTTTTAATCCAGTCTATCATTGTTGGACATTTGTGTTGGTTCCAAGTCTTTGCTACTGTGAATAATGCCACAAAAAACATACATGTGCATGTGTCTTTATAGCAGCATGATTTATAGTCCTTTGAGTATATACCCAGTAATGGGATGGCTGGGTCAAATGGTATTTCTAGTTCTAGATCCCTGAGGAATCGCCACACTGACTTCCACAATGGTTGAACTAGTTTACAGTCCCATCAACAGTGTAAAAGTGTTCCTATTTCTCCACATCCTCTACAGCACCTGTTGTTTCCTTACTTTTTAATGATTGCCATTCTAACTGGTGTGAGACGGTATCTCATTGTGGTTTTGATTTGCATTGCTCCGATGGCCCATGATGGTGAGCACTTTTTCATGTGTTTTTTGGCTGCATAAATGTCTTCTTTTGAGAAGTGTCTGTTCATGTCCTTCACCCACTTTTTGATGGGGTTGTTTGTTTTTTTCTTGTAAATTTGTTTGAGTTCATTGTAGATTCTGGATATTAGCCCTTTGTCAGATGAGTAGGTTGCGAAAATTTTCTCCCATTTTGTAGGTTGCCTGTTCACTCTGATGGTAGTTTCTTTTGCTGTGCAGAAGCTCTTTAGTTTAATTAGATCCCATTTGTCAATTTTGTCTTTTGTTGCCATTGTTTTTGGTGTTTTAGACATGAAGTCCTTGCCCATGCCTATGTCCTGAATGGTAATGCCTAGGTTTTCTTCTAGGGTTTTTATGGTTTTAGGTCTAACATTTAAGTCTTTAATCCATCTTGAATTGATTTTTGTATAAGGTGTAAGGAAGGGATCCAGTTTCAGCTTTCTACATTTGGCCAGCCAGTTTTCCCAGCAGCATTTATTAAATAGGGAATCTTTTCCCCATTGCTTGTTTTTCTCAGGTTTGTCAAAGATCAGATAGTTGTAGATATGCGGCATTATTTCTGAGGGCTCTGTTCTGTTCCATTGATCTATATCTCTGTTTTGGTATCAGTACCATGCTGTTTTGGTTACTGTAGCATTGTAGTATAGTTTGAAGTCAGGTAATGTGATGCCTCCAGCTTTGTTCTTTTGGCTTAGGATTGACTTGGCAATGCGGGCTCTTTTTTGGTTCCATATGAACTTTAAAGTAGTTTTTTCCAATTCTGTGAAGAAAGTGATTGGTAGCTTGATGGGGATGGCATTGAATCTGTAAATTACCTTGGGCAGTATGGCCATTTTCACGATATTGATTCTTCCTACCCATGAGCATGGAATGTTCTGCCATTTGTTTGTATCCTCTTTTATTTCCTTGAGCGATGATTTGTAGTTCTCCTTGAAGAGGTCCTTCACATCCCTTGTAAGTTGGATTCCTAGGTATTTTATTCTATTTGAAGCAATTGTGAACGGGAGGTCACTCATGATTTGGCTCTCTGTTTGTCTGTTTTTGTTGTATAAGAATGCTTGTGATTTTTGTACATTGATTTTGTATCCTGAGACTTTGCTGAAGTTGCTTATCGCTTAAGGAGATTTTGGGCTGAGACAATGGGGTTTTCTAGATATACAATCATGTCGTCTGCAAAAAGGGACAATTTGACTTCCTCTTTTCCTAATTGCATACAATTTATTTCCTTCTCCTACCTAATTGCCCTGGCCAGAACTTCCAACCCTATGTTGAATAGGAGTGGTGAGAGAGTGCATCCCTCTCTTGTGCCAGTTTTCAAAGGGAATGCTTCCAGTTTTTGCCCATTCAGTATGATATTGGCTGTGGGTTTGTCATAGATAGCTCTTATTATTTTGAAATACGTCCCATCAATACCTAATTTATTGAGAGTTTTTAGCATGAAGGGTTGTTGAATTTGTCAAAGGCCTTTTCTGCATCTATTGTGATAATCATGTGGTTTTGATCTTTGGTTCTGTTTATATGCTGGATTACATTTATTGATTTACCTATATGGAACCAGCCTTGCATCCCATGGGTGAAGCCCACTTGATCATGTTGGATAAGCTTTTTGATGTGCTGCTGGATTCAGTTTGCCAGTATTTTATTGAGGATTTTTGCATCAATGTTCATCAAGGTTATTGGTCTAAAATTCTCTTTTTTGGTTGGAGACAGAAAATTTCTGAGAAACCTCTTTGTGGTCTGTGCGTTCATCTCACAGAGTTGAAACTTTCTTTTCATTGAGCAGTTTGAAAACACTCTTTTTGTAGAATATGTAAGTGGACATTTGGAGTGCTTTGCGGCCCATGGTAGAAAAGGAAATATCTTGACATAAAATCTAGAGAGAAGCAATCTGAGAAACTCCTTTGTGATGTGTGCTTTCATCTCCCAGAGTTAAACCTTTCTTTTGATTGAGCAGTTTTGAAACTCTCTTTTTGTAGGATCTGCAATTGGACATTTCGAGTGCCTTGAGGCTTATGGTGGAAAAGGAAATATCTTCACATGAAAACTAGAAAGAAGAATCCTGAGAAACTTCTTTGTGATGTGTGGGTTCATCTCAGAGAGGTGAACCTTTCTTTTGATTGAGCAGTTTGGAAACACTCTTTTTGTAGTATCTGCAAGTGGACATATGCAGCGCTTTGTGGCCTATGGTAGAAAATGAAGGATCTTCACATAAAATCTAGGCAGAAGCAATCTGAGAAACTTCTTTGTGATGTGTACATTCATCTCACAGAGTTAAACTTTCTTTTCATTGAGCAGTTTTGAAAATTTCTTTGTGTAGAATCTGCAAGTAGACATTTGGAGCGTTCTGAGGCCTACAGTGGAAAATGAAATATCTTAACATAAAAACTAGAAGGAAGAATTCTGGGAAACTTCTTTGTGATGCGTGCATTAATCTCACAGAGTTGAACATTCCTTTTGATATAGCAGTTTGTAAAGACTCTTTTTCTACAATCTGCAAGTGTACATTTGGAGCGCTTTGCAGCCTATGGTAGAAAAGGAAATATCTTTACATAAAATCTAGAAAGAAGCAATCTGAGAAACTTCTTTGTGATGTGTGCATTCATCTCACAGAGTTAAAACTGTCTTTTGATTGAGCAGTTTTTAAACTCTCTTTTTGTGGAATCTGCAAGTGGACATTTATAGCGCTTTGAGGCCTATGGTGGAAATGGAAATATCTTCACATAAAAACTAGACAGAAGAATTCTGATAAACTTCTTTGTGATATGCGGGTTCATTTCACAGAGTTGAATCTTTCATTTGATTGAGCACTTTGGAAATACTCTTTTTATACAATCTGCAAGTGGACATTTGGAGCTCTTTGCGGCCTATGGTAGAAAAGGAAATTTCTTCACATAAAACCTAGACAGAAGCTATCAGAGAAACTTCTTTGTGATGTGTGCTTTCATCTCACAGAATTAAACCTTTCCTTTGATTGAGCAGTTTTTAATCTCTCATTTTGTAGAATGTGAAGTGGACATTTGGAATGCTTTGAGGACTACAGTCAAAAGGAAATATCTTCAAATAAAAACTAGACAGAAGAATTCTGAGAAACTTCTTTGTGATGTGTGTCTTCATCTCACAGAGTTGAAATTTTCTTTTGATTGAGCAGTATGGGAACACTTTTTTGTAAAATCTGTAAGTGGACATTTGGACCGCTTTACGGCCTATGGTAGAAAAGGAAATATCTTCAGATAAAATCTAGACAGAAACAATCTGAGAAACTTCTTCGTGAAGTGTTTATTCATCTCACAGAGTTAAACCTTTCTTTTGAGAGAGCAGTTTTGAAACTCTGTTTTTGTAGAATCTGCAAGTGGACATTTGGAGCGCTTTGAGGCCTATGGTGGAAAAAGAAATATCTTCACATAAAAACTAGACAGAAGAATTCTAAGAAACTCCTTTGTGATGTGTACGTTCATCTCACAGAGTTGAACCTTTCTTTTGATTGAGCAGTTTGGAAACACTGTTTTTGTAGAATCTGCAATTGGACATTTGGGGTGCTGTGTGGCCTAGGGGAGAATAGTAAATATCTTCACATAAAATCTAGACAGAAGCAATATGAAAAAATTCTTTGTGATGTGTGCAATCATCTCACCGAGTTAAACCTGTGTTTTGATTGAGCAGTTTTGAAACTCACTTTTTGTAGAATCCGCAAGTGGACAATTGGAGTGCTTTGCGGCCTATGTTAAAAAAGGAAATATCTTCATATAAAATCTAGATAGAAGCAATCTGAGAAACTTCTTTGTTAAGTGTGCATTAATCTCACAGAATTAAACCTTTCTTGTGATTGAGCAGTCTTGAAACTCTCTGTTTGTAGAATCTGCGAGTGGACATTTGGAGCGCTTGGAGGTATATGGTAGAAAAGGAAATATCTTCATATAAAAACTAGACAGAGGAATTTGGAAAAACTTCTCTGTGATGCTTGTGTTCCTCTCACAGAGTTGAACTTTTCTTTTGATTAAGCAGTTTGGAAACACTCTTTTTGTAGAATCTGCAAGTGGACATTTGGAGGGCTTTGCAGCCTTTGGTAGAAAAGGAAATATATTCACATAAAAACTAGACAGAAGCATTCTGAGAAACTTCTTTGTTATGTGTGCATTCATCTCCCAGTGTTAGACCTTTCTTTCGATGGACCAGTTTTGAAATACACCTTTTGTGGGATCTGCAAGTGGACATTTCGAGTGCCTTGAGGCCTATGCTGGAAATGGAAATATCTTCACATAAAAACTAGACAGAAGAATTCTGAAAAACTTCATTGTAATGTGTGCGATCATCTCACAGAGTTAACATTTTCGTTTGATTGAGCAGTTCTGAAACTCTCTTTTTGAAGATTCTGCAAATAGACATTTGGAGAGCTTTGCGGCCTGTGGTAGAAAATGAAATATCTTCACATAAAGTCTAGACAGAAGTAATCTGAGAAACTTCTTTCTGATGTGTGCATTCATCTAACGGAGTTAAACCTTTCTTTTTATTGAGCAATTTTGAAACTCTCTTTTTGTAGAATCTGCAACTGGATATTGGGAGCGATTTGAGGCCTATGGTGAAAAAGGAAATATCTTCACATAAAAACAGGACAGAAGAATTCAGAGAAACTTCTTTGTGATGCTTGCGTTCATCTCACAGAGTTGAACCTTTCTTTTCATGAGCAGTTTTGAAAATCTCTTTTTGTAGAATATGCAAGTGGACATTTGGAGCGCTTTGAGGGGTATATTAAAAAAGGTAATATCTTCACATAAACACTAGACAGAAGAATTCTGAGAAACTTCTTTGTGATGCGTGCATTCATCTCACAGAGTTGAACCTTTCTTTTGATTGAGCAGTTTGGAAACACTCTTTTTGTAGAATATGAAAGTGGACATTTGGAGCGCTTTGCGTTCCATAGCAGAAAAGGAAATATATTCACATAAAATCTAGACAGAAGCAATCTGAGAAACTTCTTTGTGATGTGTGTATTCCTCTCACAGAGTTAAACCTTTCTTTTGATAGAGGAGTTTTCAAACTCTCTTTTTGTAGAATCTGCAAGTGGACTTTTGGAGCACTTTGAGGCCTCTGTTGGAAAAGGAAATATCTTCACATAAAAACAAGAGAGAAGAATTCTGAGAAACTTCGTTGTGATACGTGCGTTCATCTCACAGAGTTGAACCCTTCTTTTGATAGAGCAGAATGGAAACACTCTTTTTGTAGAGTCTGCAAATGGACGTTGGGAGCGCTTTTCGGCCAATGGCAGAAAAGGAAATATCTTCACAAAAAATCTAGACCGAAGAAGTCTGAGAAACTTCTTTGTGATGTGTGCATTTATCTCACAGAGTTAAACCTTTCTTTTGATTGAGGAGTTTTGAAACTGTCTTTTTGTAGAATCTGCAAGTGGACATTTGGAGCGCTTTGAGGCCTGTGGTGGAAAAGGAAATAACTTCACATAAAAATTAGAGAGAAGCATTCTGAGAAACTTCTTTCTGATGTATGCATTCATCTCCCTGAGTTGAACCTTTCCTTGAAGGACCAGTTTTGAAATACTCTTTTTGTAGAATCTTCAAGTGGATATTTGGAGCATTTTGAGGTCTGTGGTGGAAAAGGAAATATCCTCACATAAAAACTAGGCAGAAAAATTCTGAGAAACTTCTTGGTGATGGGTGCGTTCATCTCACAGAGATGAACTTTTCTTTTGATGGAGCAGATTGGAAACAATCTTTTTGGAGAATCAGCAAAAGGATATTTGGAGCGCTTTGCAGCCTATGGCAGAAAAGGAAATATCTTCACATAAAATCTAGACAGAAGCAATATTAGAAACTTCTTTGTGATGTGTGCATTCATCTCACGGAGTTAAAACTTTCTTTTGATTGAGCTGTTTTGAAAATCTATTTTTGTAGAATCTGCAATGCGACATTTGGAGCGCTTTGACTCCTATGGTGGAAAAGGAAATATCTTCACATAAAAACTAGATAGAAGCATTCTGAGAAACTTCTTTCAGACTGGTGCATTCATCTCCCTGAGTTGGACCTTTCTTTTGAAGGACCAGTTTAAAAATACGCTTTTTGTAGAATCTGAAGTGGACATTTTGAGCACCTTGAGGCCTATGGTGGAAAAGGAAATATCTTCACATAAAAACTAGACAGAAGAATTCTGAGAAAACTCTTTGTGATGTGTTAATCTCACAGAGTTGAAACTTTCTTTTGATTGAGCAGTTTTAAAACACTCTTTTTGTAGATTGTGCAAGTGAACATTTGTAGCACTTTACGGCTTATGTTAGAAGGGGAACTATATTCTCATAAAATCTAGACAGAAACAATCTGAGAAACTTCTTTGTGATGTGTGCATTCATGTGACGGAGTTAAACCTTTCTTTTGATTGAGCAGTTTTGAAACTCTCTTTTTGTAGAATTTGCAAGTGGACATTTGGAGCGCTTTGAGGCCAATGGCAGAAAAGGAAATATCTTCACATAAAAAGTAGGCAGAAAAATTCTGAGAAATTCTATGTGACGTATCCGTTTATCTCTCAGAGTTGAACCTTTCTTTTGATTGAACAGTTTGGAAACATTCTTTTTGTAGAATATGCAAGTGGACATTTGGAGCCCTTTGTGGCCTATGGCAGAAAAGGAAATATCTTCACATAAAATCTAGACAGAAGCCATCTGAGAAACTACTTTGTGATGTGTGCATTCATCTCACAGAGTTAAAACTTTCTTCTGATTGAGCAGTTTTTAAACTCTCTTTTTGTAGAATCTGCACGTGGACTTTTGGGGCGGTTAAAGGCTTATGGTGGAAAAGGAAGTATCTTCACGTAAAAACTAGACAGAAGAATTCTGAGAAACTTCTTTGTGATGTGTGCATTCATCTAACAGAGTTGAACCTTTCTTTTCATTGAGCAGTTTGGAAAAACTCTTTTTCTAGAAACTGTAAGTGGACACTTGGAATGCTTTGGGGCCTGTGGTAGAAAAGGAATTATTTTCACATAAAATCTAGACAAAAGCAATCTGAGAAACTTCTTTGTGATGTGTGCATTCATCTCACAGAGTTAAAACTTTCCTTTGATTGTGGCGCTTTGAAACTCTCTTTTTGTAGAATCTGCACGTGGACAAATGGAGCCCTTTGAGGCCTATGGTGGAAAAAGGAACATCTTCACATAAAAACTAGACAGAAGCATTCTGAGAAACTTCTTTGTGATATTTGCATTCAACTCGCAGAGTCGAATATTCCCTTACACAGAGAAGTTTTGAAACATTCTTTTTGTAGAATCTGCAAATGTATATGTAGAGCTCTTTGAGGCCTTCGGTGGAAACGGGAAATTCTTCACATAAAAACTAGACAGAAGCATTCTCAGAAACTTCTTTGTGTTGTGTGTATTCAACTCACAGAGTTGAAATTTTGCTTTGATTGAGCAGTTTTGAAACACTCTATTTGTAGAATCTGCAAGTGAACAATTGGAGCACTTTGAGGCCTGTGGTGGAAAAGGAAATATCTTCATACTAAAATTATACAGAAGCATTCTCAGAAACTTCTTTGTGATGTGTGCATTCAATTCAGAGAGTTAAACCAACCTTTTGATAGAGCAGTTTTGAAACACTCTTTTTGTAGAATCTGCAGCTGGATATATGGAGCCCTTTGAGGCCTATGGTAGAAAAGGAAATGTCTTCATATAAAAACTAGACAGAAGCATTCTCAGAAATTGCTTTGTGATGTGGCATTCAAGTCACAGGGTTGGACCATCCTCTTCATAGAGCAGTTTTGAAACAGTCTTTTTGTAGAATCTGCAAGTGGATATTTGGAGCGTTTGGAGGCCTATGGTGGAAAAGGAAATATCTTCACATAGAGAGTAGAAAAAAGTATTCTCAGAAACTTCTTTGTTATGTGTCCATTAAACTCAGAGTGTTGAACCTTCTTTTTTTTTTTCTTCTTTTTTTTTTATTATACATTAAGTTTTGGGGTACATGTGCACATTGTGCAGCTTAGTTACATATGAATACATGTGACATGCTGGTGCACTGCACCCAATAACTCGTCATCTAACATTAGGTATATCTCCCAATGCTATCCCAACACCCTCCCCCGACCCCACAACAGTCCCCGGAGTGTGATATTCCTCTTCCTGTGTCCATGTGATCTCATTGTTCAATTCCCACCTATGAGTGAGAATATGCGGTGTTTGGTTTTTTGTTCTTGCGATAGTTTACTGAGAATGATGATTTCCAATTTCATCCATGTCCCTGCAAAGGACATGAACTTATCATTTTTTACGGCTGCATAGTATTCCATGGTGTATATGTGCGGCATTATTCACAATAGCAAAGACTTGGAACTAAACCAAATGTCTAACAATGATAGACTGGATTAAGAAAATGTGGCACATATGAACTTTCTTTTTCATAGAGCAGTTTTGAAACACTCTTTTTGTAGAATCTGCAAGTGGACATTTGGAGCACTTTGAGGTATATGGTAGAAAAGGAAATATCTTCACATAAAAACTAGACAGAAGCATTCTCAGAAACTTCTTTGTGTTGTGTGCATTCAACTCACAGAGTTGAACTTTTCCTATGATTGAGCAGTTTTGAAACACTCTTTCTGAAGAATCTGCAAGTGGATATTTGGAGCGCTTTGAGGCCTATGCTGGAAAAGGAAACACCTTCACGAAAAAACTAGAGCAGAAGCATTCTCAGAAACGTCTTTGGGATGTGTGCATTCAACTCACAGAGTTGAACCTTTCTTTGATAGAGCAGTTTTGAAACACTCTTTTTGTAGAATCTGCAGTTGGATATTTGGAGCGCTTTGCTGCCTACGGTGGAAAAGGAAATATCCGCACATAAAAACTAGACAGCAGCATTCTCAGAAACTTGTTTGTGTTGTGTGCATTCAACTCACAGAGTTGACCTTTCCTTTGATTGAGCAGTTTTGAAAAAGTCTTTTTGCAGAATCTGCAAGTGGATATTTGGAGCGGTTTGAGGCCTATGGTGTAAAAGGAAATATCTTCACATAAAAACTAGACAGAAGCATTCTCTGAAACTTCTTTGTGATGTGTGAATTCAACTCACAGAGTTGAACCTTTCTTTTGTAGAGCAGTTTTGAAACTCTTTTTGTAGAATCTGTAAGTAGATATTTGGAGCGCTTTGAGGCTTACGGTGGAAAAGGAAATATCTTCACATTAAAACTAGACAGAAGCATTCTCAGAAACTTCTTTGTGATAAGTGCATTCAACTCAGAGAGTCGAACCTTTCTGTTGATAGAGCAGTTTTAAATCACTCTTTTTCTAGAATCTGAAAGTGGATATTTGGAGTGCTTTGAGGCCTATGGTGGAAAAGAAAATTCCTACACAAAAAAACTAGGCGGAAGCATTCTCAGAAATATCTTTGTGATGAGTGCATTCAACTCACAGAGTTGAACATTTATGTTCATAGAGGAGTTTTAAAACACTCTTTTTCAGGAATCTGAAAGTGGATATTTGGAGCGCTTTGAGGCCTATGGTGGAAAAGGAAACACCTACACAAAAAAAACTAGAGCAGAAGCATTCTCAGAAACTTCTTTGTGATGTGTGCATTCAACTCACAGAGTTGAACCTTTTTTTTTGAAAGAGCAGTTTTGAAACACTATTTTTGTACAATCTGCGGTTGGATATTTGGAGCGCTTTGATGCCTATGGTGGAAAACGAAATATCCGCACATAAAATCTAGACAGCAGCATTCTCAGAAACTTGTTTGTGTTGTGTGCATTCAACTCACAGAGTTGAACCTTTCCTTTGATTGAGCAGTTTTGAAAAAGTCTTTTTGTAGAATCTGCAAGTGGACATTTGGAGCACTTTGAGGTATATGGTAGAAAAGGAAATATCTTCACATAAAAACTAGACAGAAGCATTCTCAGAAACTTCTTTGTGTTGTGTGCATTCAACTCACAGAGTTGAACTTTTCCTATGATTGAGCAGTTTTGAAACACTCTTTCTGAAGAATCTGCAAGTGGATATTTGGAGCGCTTTGAAGCCTATGGTGGAAAAGGAAACACCTTCACAAAAAAACTAGAGCAGAAGCATTCTCAGAAACGTCTTTGTGATGTGTGCATTCAACTCACAGAGTTGAACCTTTCTTTGATAGAGCAGTTTTGAAACACTCTTTTTGTAGAATCTGCAGTTGGATATTTGGAGCGCTTTGATGCCTACGGTGGAAAAGGAAATATCCGCACATAAAAACAAGACAGCAGCATTCTCAGAAACTTGTTTGTGTTGTGTGCATTCAACTCACAGAGTTGACCTTTCCTTTGATTGAGCAGTTTTGAAAAAGTCTTTTTGCAGAATCTGCAAGTGGATATTTGGAGCGGTTTGAGGCCTATGGTGTAAAAGGAAATATCTTCACATAAAAACTAGACAGAAGCATTCTCTGAAACTTTTTTGTGATGTGTGCATTCAACTCACAGAGTTGAACCTTTCCTTTGATTGAGCAGTTTTGAAAAAGTCTTTTTGTAGAATCCACAAGTGGATATTTGGAGCAGTTTGAGGCCTATGGTGTAAAAGGAAATATCTTCATATAAAAACTAGACAGAAGCATTCTCAGAAACTTCTTTCTGTTGTGTGCATTCAACTCACAGAGTTGAGCTTTTCCTATGATTGAGCAGTTTTGAAACACTCTTCCTGGAGAATCTGCAAGTGGATATTTGGAGCGCTTTGAGGCCTATGGTGGAAAAGGAAACATCTTCACAAAAAAACTAGAGCAGAAGCATTCTCAGAAACGTCTTTATGATGTGTGCATTCAACTCACAGAGTTGAAACTTTCTTTGATAGAGCAGTTTTGAAACACTCTTATTGTAGAATCTGCAGTTGGATATTTTGAGCGCTTTGATGCCTATGGTAGAAAAGGAAATATCCGCACATAAAATTTAGACAGCAGCATTCTCAGAAACTTGTTTGTGTTGTGGGCATTCAACTCACAGAGTTGACCCTTTCCTTTGATTGAGCAGTTTGGAAAAAGTCTTTTTGTTGAATCCGCAAGTGGATATTTGGCGCTGTTTGAGGCCTTTGTTGTAAAAGGAAATATCTTCACATAAAAACTAGACAGAAGCATTCTCCGAAAGTTCTTTGTGTTGTGTGCATTCAACTCACAGAGTTGAACTTTTCCTATGATTGAGCAGTTTTGAAACACTCGTTAGGAAGAATCTGCAAGTGGATATTTGGAGTGCTTTGAGGCATATGGTGGAAAAGGAAACACCTTCACAAAAAAAATAGAGCAGAAGCATTATCAGAAAGGTCTTTGGGATGTGTGCATTCAACTCACAGAGTTGAACCTTTCTTTGATAGAGCAGTTTTGAAACACTCTTTTTGTAGAATCTGCAGTTGGATATTTGGAGCGCTTTGATGCCTATGGTGGAAAAGGAAATATCCGCACATAAAAACTAGACAGCAGCATTCTCAGAAACTTGTTTGTGTTGTGGGCATTCAACTCACAGAGTTGACGTTTCCTTTGATTGAGCAGTTTTGAAAAAGTCTTTTTGCAGAATCTGCAAGTGGATATTTTGAGCGGTTTGAGGCCTATGGTGTAAAATGAAATATCTTCACATAAAAACTAGACAGAAGCATTCTCTGAAACTTCTTTGTGATGTGTGAATTCAACTCGCAGAGTTGAACCTTTCTTTTGTAGAGCAGTTTTGAAACTCTTTTTGTAGAATCTGTAAGTAGATATTTGGAGCGCTTTGAGGCGTATGGTGGAAAAGCAAATATCTTCACATAAAAACTAGACAGAAGCATTCTCAGAAACTTCTTTGTGATAAGTGCATTCAACTCAGAGAGTCGAACCTTTCTGTTGATAGAGCAGTTTTAAATCACTGTTTTTCTAGAATCTGAAAGTCGATATTTGGAGTGCTTTGAGGCCTATGGTGGAAAAGGAAATACCTACACATAAAAACTAGGCGGAAGCATTCTCAGAAATATCTTTGTGATGAGTGCATTCAACTCACAGAGTTGAACATTTATGTTGATAGAGGAGTTTTAAAACACTCTTTTTCAGGAATCTGAAAGTGGATATTTGGAGCGCTTTGAGGCCTATGGTGGAAAAGGAAACACCATCACAAAAAAAAACTAGAGCAGAAGCATTCTCAGGAACTTCTTTGTGATGTGTGCATTCAACTCACAGAGTTGAACCTTTTTTTTTGATAGAGCAGTTTTGAAACACTATTTTTGTACAATCTGCGGTTGGATATTTGGAGCGCTTTGATGCCTATGGTGGAAAACGAAATATCCGCACATAAAATCTAGACAGCAGCATTCTCAGAAACTTGTTTGTGTTGTGTGCATTCAACTCACAGAGTTGAACCTTTCCTTTGATTGAGCAGTTTTGAAAAAGTCTTTTTGTAGAATCCACAAGTGGATATTTGGAGCAGTTTGAGGCCTATGGTGTAAAAGGAAATATCTTCACATAAAAACTAGACAGAAGCATTCTCAGAAACTTCTTTGTGTTGTGTGCATTCAACTCACAGAGTTGAACTTTTCCTATGATTGAGCAGTTTTGAAACACTCTTTCTGAAGAATCTGCAAGTGGATATTTGGAGCGCTTTGAGGCCTATGGTGGAAAAGGAAACACCTTCACAAAAAAACTAGAGCAGAAGCATTCTCAGAAACGTCTTTGTGATGTGTGCATTCAACTCACAGAGTTGAACCTTTCTTTGATAGAGCAGTTTTGAAACACTCTTTTTGTAGAATCTGCAGTTGGATATTTGGAGCGCTTTGATGCCTATGGTGGAAAAGGAAATATCCGCACATAAAAACTAGACAGCAGCATTCTCAGAAACTTGTTTGTGTTGTGTGCATTCAACTCACAGAGTTGACCTTTCCTTTGATTGAGCAGTTTTGAAAAAGTCTTTTTGCAGAATCTGCAAGTGGATATTTGGAGCGGTTTGAGGCCTATGGTGTAAAAGGAAATACCTTCACATAAAAACTAGACAGAAGCATTCTCTGAAACTTCTTTGTGATGTGTGAATTCAACTCGCAGAGTTGAAACTTTCTTTTGTAGAGCAGTTTTGAAACTCTTTTTGTAGAATCTGTAAGTAGATATTTGGAGCGCTTTGAGGCTTATGGTGGAAAAGGAAATATCTTCACATAAAAACTAGACAGAAGCATTCTCAGAAACTTCTTTGTGATAAGTGCATTCAACTCACAGAGTCGAACCTTTCTGTTGATAGAGCAGTTTTAAATCACTCTTTTTCTAGAATCTGAAAGTGGATATTTGGAGTGCTTTGAGGCCTCTGGTGGAAAAGGAAACACCTTCACAAAAAAAACTAGACCAGAAGCATTCTCAGAAACTTCTTTGTGATGTGTGCATTCAACTCACAGTGTTGAAACTTTTTTTTTGATAGAGCAGTTTTGAAACACTATTTTTGTACAATCTGCGGTTGGATATTTGGAGCGCTTTGATGCCTATGGTGGAAAACGAAATATCCGCACATGAAATCTAGACAGCAGCATTCTCAGAAACTTGTTTGTGTTGTGTGCATTCAACTCACAGAGTTGAACCTTTCCTTTGATTGAGCAGTTTTGAAAAAGTCTTTTTGTAGAATCCACAAGTGGATATTTGGAGCAGTTTGAGGCCTATGGTGTAAAAGCAAATATCTTCACATAAAAACTAGACAGAAGCATTCTCAGAAACTTCTTTGTGTTGTGTGCATTCAACTCACAGAGTTGAACTTTTCCTATGATTGAGCAGTTTTGAAACACTCTTTCTGAAGAATCTGCAAGTGGATATTTGGAGCGCTTTGAGGCCTATGGTGGAAAAGGAAACACCTTCACAAAAAAACTAGAGCAGAAGCATTCTCAGAAACGTCTTTGTGATCTGTGCATTCAACTCACAGAGTTGAACCTTTCTTTGATAGAGCAGTTTTGAAACACTCTTTTTGTAGAATCTGCAGTTGGATATTTGGAGCGCTTTGATGCCTATGGTGGAAAAGGAAATATCCGCACATAAAAACTAGACAGCAGCATTCTCAGAAACTTGTTTGTGTTGTGTGCATTCAACTCACAGAGTTGACCTTTCCTTTGATTGAGCAGTTTTGAAAAAGGCTTTTTGCAGAATCTGCAAGTGGATATTTGGAGCGGTTTGAGGCCTATGGTGTAAAAGGAAATATCTTCACATAAAAACTAGACAGAAGCATTCTCTGAAACTTCTTTGTGATGTGTGAATTCAACTCGCAGCGTTGAACCTTTCTTTTGTAGAGCAGTTTTGAAACTCTTTTTGTAGAATCTGTAAGTAGATATTTGGAGCGCTTTGAGGCTTATGGTGGAAAAGGAAATATCTTCACATAAAAACTAGACAGAAGCATTCTCAGAAACTTCTTTGTGATAAGTGCATTCAACTCACAGAGTCGAACCTTTCTGTTGATAGAGCAGTTTTAAATCACTCTTTTTCTAGAATCTGAAAGTGGATATTTGGAGTGCTTTGAGGCCTATGGTGGAAAAGGAAATACCTACACATAAAAACTAGGCGGAAGCATTCTCAGAAATATCTTTGTGATGAGTGCATTCAACTCACAGAGTTGAACACTTATGTTGATAGAGGAGTTTTAAAACACTCTTTTTCAGGAATCTGAAAGTGGATATTTGGAGCGCTTTGAGGCCTATGGTGGAAAAGGAAACACCTTCACAAAAAAAAACTAGAGCAGAAGCATTCTCAGAAACTTCTTTGTGATGTGTGCATTCAACTCACAGAGTTGAACCTTTTTTTTTGATAGAGCAGTTTTGAAACACTATTTTTGTACAATCTGCGGTTGGATATTTGGAGCGCTTTGATGCCTATGGTGGAAAACGAAATATCCGCACATAAAATCTAGACAGCAGCATTCTCAGAAACTTGTTTGTGTTGTGTGCATTCAACTCACAGAGTTGAACCTTTCCTTTGATTGAGCAGTTTTGAAAAAGTCTTTTTGTAGAATCCACAAGTGGATATTTGGAGCAGTTTGAGGCCTATGGTGTAAAAGGAAATATCTTCACATAAAAACTAGACAGAAGCATTCTCAGAAACTTCTTTGTGTTGTGTGCATTCAACTCACAGAGTTGAACTTTTCCTATGATTGAGCAGTTTTGAAACACTCTTTCTGAAGAATCTGCAAGTGGATATTTGGAGCGCTTTGAGGCCTATGGTGGAAAAGGAAACACCTTCACAAAAAAACTAGAGCAGAAGCATTCTCAGAAACGTCTTTGTGATGTGTGCATTCAACTCACAGAGTTGAACCTTTCTTTGATAGAGCAGTTTTGAAACACTCTTTTTGTAGAATCTGCAGTTGGATATTTGGAGCGCTTTGATGCCTATGGTGGAAAAGGAAATATCCGCACATAAAAACTAGACAGCAGCATTCTCAGAAACTTGTTTGTGTTGTGTGCATTCAACTCACAGAGTTGACCTTTCCTTTGATTGAGCAGTTTTGAAAAAGTCTTTTTGCAGAATCTGCAAGTGGATATTTGGAGCGGTTTGAGGCCTATGGTGTAAAAGGAAATATCTTCACATAAAAACTAGACAGAAGCATTCTCTGAAACTTCTTTGTGATGTGTGAATTCAACTCACAGAGTTGAACCTTTCTTTTGTAGAGCAGTTTTGAAACTCTTTTTGTAGAATCTGTAAGTAGATATTTGGAGCGCTTTGAGGCTTATGGTGGAAAAGGAAATATCTTCACATAAAAACTAGACAGAAGCATTCTCAGAAACTTCTTCGTGATAAGTGCATTCAACTCACAGAGTCGAACCTTCTTTTGATAGAGCAGTTTTAAATCA